>NC_000019.10:24904771-24908589 GCF_000001405.40 Homo sapiens | reverse complement strand
TTTGAATTGAACGCATACATCACGAAGCAGTTTCTGAGAATCATTCTGTCAAGTTTTTATACGAAGAAATTTCCTTTTCTACCATTGACCTCAAAGCGTCTGAAATCTCCACTTGCAAATTCCACAAAAAGAGTGTTTCAAATCTGCTCTGTCTAAAAGAAGGGTCAACTCTGTCAGTTGAATACACACAACACAAAGAAGTTACTGAGAAATCTTCTGTCTAGCCTTACATGAATAAAACCCGTTTCCAACGAAGGCCTCAAAGATGTCCAAATATCTACTTGCAGACTTTACAAACAGAGTGTTTGCAAACTGCTGTATGAAAAGGTAGGTTAAACTCCGTGAGTTGAACGCACACATGATAAAGCAGTTTCTGAGAATGATTCTGACTTGTTTTTATACGAAGATATTTCCTCTTCTGCCTTTGGCCTCAAAGCGCTTGAAATTTCTAATTGCAAATTCCACAAAAAGAGTGTTTCAAGTCTGCTCTGTCTAAAGGAATGCTCAACTCTGTCAGTTGAATACACACAACACAAAGAAGTTACTAAGAATTCTTCTCTCTAGCATTGTAAGAAGAAATCCCTTTTCCAACGAAGTCACCTAAGTGGTCCAAATATCCACTTGCAGACTTTACCAACAGAGTGTTTCCAAAATGCTGTACGAAAAGAAAGGTTAAACTCTGTTAGTTAAACAGACACATCACTACGCAGTTTCTGGGAATGATTTTGTCTTGTTTTTATACGAAGATATTTCCTTTTCTATCATTGACCTGAAAGCGCTCGAAATCTCCACTTGCAAATTCCACAAAAAAGAGTGTTTCAAGTCTGCTCTGCCTAAAGGAACGTACACATCTGTGAGTTGAACACAGACAACACAAAGGACTTACTTAGAATTCTTCTGTCTAGCGTTATATGAAGAAATCCCGTTTCCAACGACGGCGTCAAAGAGGTCAAAATATCCACTTGCAGACTTTACAAACAGAGTGTTTCCAAACTGCTGTATGAGCAGAAAGGTTAAACTCTGTGAGTTGAACGCACACATGACAAAGCAGTTTATGGGAAAGATTCTGTGTAGTTTTTATACGAAGATATTTCCTTTTCTACCGTTGGCCTCAAAGCGTTTGAAATCTCCACTTGCAAATTCCACAAAAAGAGTGTTTCTAATCTGCTCTGTCTGAAGGAAGGTTCAACTCTGTCAGTTGAATACACACAACACGAGGAAGTTACTGAAAATTCTTCTGTCTAGCCTTAAATGAGGAAATCCCGTTTCCAAGGAACTCCTCAAGGAGGTCCAAATATCCACTTGCTGACTTTTCAAACAGAGTGTTTCCAAATTGCTGAATGAAAAGAAAGGTGAAACTCTGTGAGTTGAACGCCCAGATCACAACGCAGTTTCTGGGAATGATTCTGTCTAGTTTTGAAACGAAGATATTTCCATTTCTGCAATTGACCAAAAAGCGCTTGAAATCTCCACTTGCAAATTCCACAAAAAGAGTGTTTCAAATCTGCTGTGTCTAAAGGAACGTTCAACTCTGTGAGTTGAATACACACAAAACAAGGAAGTTACTGAGAATTCTTCTGTCTAGCATTTCATGAAAAAAACCCGTTTCCAACGAAGGTCTCAAAGAGGACAAAATATCCACTTGCAGACTTTACAAACAGAGTGTTTCCAAACTGCGGAATGAAAAGAAAATTTAAACTGTGAGTTGAAAGCACACATCACAGATCAGTTTCTGAGAATGATTCTGTCTAGTTTTTATACTAAGATATTTCCTTTTCTTCCATTGGCCTTAAACCGCTTGAAATCTCCACCTGCAAATTCCACAAAAAGCGTTTTTCAAATCTGCTCTGTCTAATGGAAGATTCACCTCTGTCAGTTGAATGCACACAACACAAAGGAGTTACTAAGAATTCTTCTCTCTAGCATTATATGAAGAAATCCCGTTTCCAACTAAGGCATCTAAGAAGTCCAAATATACACTTGCAGACTTTAAAAACAGACTTTATCCAAACTGCTCAATGAAAAGAAAGGTTAAACTCTGTGAGTTGAACGCACACATCACAACACAGTTTCTGGGAATGATTTTGTCTTGTTTTTATACGAAGATATTTCGTTTCTACCATTGGCCTCAAAGCACTTGAAATCTCCAATTGAAATTCCACAAAAAGAGTGTTTCAAATCTTCTCTGTCTAAAGGAAAGTTCACCTGTGTGAGTTGAGTACACACAACACAAGGAAGTTACTGGGAATTCCTCTTTCTAGCATTATATGAGGAAATCCCGTTTCCAAAGAAGGCCTCAACTAGTTCCGAATATCGACTTGCAGATTTGACAAACAGAGTGTTTCCTAACTGCTCTATGAAAAGAAAGTTAAAACTCTTTGAGTTGAACGCACACATCACATAGCACTTTCTGAGAATCATTCTGCCTAGTTTTTATACGAAGATATTTCCTTTTCTACCATTGACCTCAAAGGGTTTGAAATCTACACTTGCAAATTCCTCAAAAAGAGTGTTTCAAATCTGCTCTGTCTAGAGGAAGTGTCAACTCTGTCAGCTTAATACACACAACACAAAGATGTTACTGAGAATTTTTCTGTCTAGCCTTACATGAATAAAACCCGTTTCCAAAGAAGGCCTCAAAGAGATCAAAATATCCGTTTGCAGACTTTTCCAACAGAGTGTTTCCAAACTGCTGTACGAAAAGTAAGGATAAACTCTTTGAGTTGAATGCATACATCACAAAGCAGTTTCTGAGAATGATTCTGTCTTGTTTTTCTACTAAGATATTTCCTTTTCTGCCTTTGGCCTCAAGGCACATGAAATCTCCACTTGCAAATTCCACAAAAAGAGGGTTTCAAATCTGCTGTGTCTAAAGGAACGTTCACCTCTGTGAGTTGAGTACACACAACAAAAGGAAGTTACTGAGAATTCTTCTGTCTAGCATTATATGAAGAAATCCAGTTTCCAACGAAGGCCTCAAAGAGATCAGAATATCGACTTCCAGTTTGACCAACAGAGTGTTTCCAAAGGGCTCTATGAAAAGAAAGGTTAAACTCTGTGTGTTCTACGCACACATCACAAAGCAGTTTTTGGGAATGATTCTGTCTAGTTTTCATACGAAGATATTTCCTTTTCTAGCATTGAACTTAAAGCGCTTGAAATCTCCACTTGCAAATTCCACAAAAAGAGTGTTTCAAATCGGCTCTGTCTAAAGGTAGGCTCAGCTGTTGTCAGTGGAATACACACAACACAAGGAAGTTACTGAGAATTCTTCGGTCTAGCATTATATGAGGAAATCCCGTTTCCAACGAAGGCCTCAAGGAGGTCCAAATATCCACTTGCAGACTTTACAAACAGAGTGTTTCCTAAATGCTCTATGAAAAGAAATGTTAAATCTGTATGTTGAACGCACACATCACAACGCTGTTTCTGGGAATGATTCTGTCTAGGTTTTATACGAAGATATTTCCTTTTCTACTATTGGCCTCAAAGCGCTTGAAATCTCCACTTGCACATTCCACGAAAAGAGTATTTCAAATCTGCTCTGTCTAAAGGAAGTTTCAACTCTGTGAGTTGAATACACACAACACAAGGAGGTTACTGAGAATTCTTCTGTCTAGCATTATATGAAAAAATCCCGTTTGCAACGAAGGCCTCAAGTAGGTCCAAATATCCACTTGCAGACTTTACAAACAGAGTGTTTCCAAACTGCTCTATGAAAAGAAAGGTTTCACTCTGTGAGTTAAACGCACACATCATAACGCAGTTTCTGGGAATGATTCTGTCCTGTTATTATGCGAAGATATTTCCTTTTCTAC
>NC_000019.10:24895890-24898313 GCF_000001405.40 Homo sapiens | reverse complement strand
CTGTGATTCTTCTGCGTAGCATCATATGAAGAAATCCCGTTTCCAACGAAGACGTCAAAGAGGTGCAACTATCCACTTGCAGACTTTATAAACAGAGTGTTTTCAAACTGCTGTGTGAATTGAAAGGTTAAACTCCCTGAGTTGAACACACACATCACAAAGTAGTTTCTGAGAATGATTCTGTCTAGTTTTTATACGAAGTTTATTCTTTTCAACCATTGGCCTCAAAGCGCTTGAAATCTCCACTTGCAAATTCCACAAAAATAGTGTTTCAAATTTGCTCTGTCTAAAGGAAGGTTCAACTCTGTGAGTTGAATACACACAACACAAAAAAGTTACTGAGAATTCTTCTTTCTAGCATTATATGAAGAAAACCCCATTCCAACGAAGGCCTCAAAGACGTCCGAATATCCACTTGCAGACTTTACAAACAGAGTGTTTCCAAACTGCTCTATGAAAAGAAAGGTTAAACTCTGTGAGTTGAAAGCAAACATCACAAAGTAGTTTCTGAGAATGATTCTGTCTGGTGATTATACGAAGATATTTCCTTTTCTACCATTGGCCTCAAAGCGCTTGAAATCTCCACTTGCAAATTCCTCAAAAAGAGTGTTTCAAATCTGCTCTGCCTAAAGGAAGGTTGAATTCTGTGAGGTGAATACCCACAACACAAAGAAGTTACTCAGAATTCTTCTGTCCACCATTATATGAAGAAATCCCGTTACCAATGAAGGCCTCAAAGAGGTCCAATATCCACTTGCAGACTTTACAAACAGAGAGTTTGCAAACTGCTCTATGAAAAGAAAGGTTAAACTCCGTGTGTGGAACGCACACAACACAAAGCAGTTTGTGAGAATGATTCTGTCGAGTTTTTATATGAAGATATTTCCTTTTCTACCATTGGCCTCAAATCGCTTGAAATCTCCACTTGCAAATTCCACAAAAAGCGTGTTTCAAATCTGCTCTGTCTAAAGGAATGTAGAACTCTGTGAGTTGAATACACACAGCACAAAGAAGTAACTGAGAATTCTTCTGTCTAGCATTATATGAAAAATCTCGTTTCCAACCAAGGCCTCAAAGAGGTCCAAATGTCCACTTGCCCACTTTACAACAGTGTGTTTCCAAACTGCTCCATGAAAAGAAAGGTTAAACTCTGTGAGTTGAACGCACACATCATGAAGTAGTTTCTGAGAATGATTCTGTCTGTCTTTTATACGAAGATATTCCCTTTTCTACTTTTGGCCTTAAAGCGCTTGGAATCTCCTACTGAAAATTCGACAAAGAGAGTGTTTCAAATCTGCTCTGTCTAATGGAAGATTCAACTCTGTTCGTTAATACACACAACACAAATAAGTTACTGAGAATTCTTCTTTCTAGCATTATATGATGAAATCACGTTTCCAACGAAGGCCTCAAGGAGGTCCAAATATCCTTTGGCAGACTTTCAAACCGAGTGTTTCCCAACTGCTCTATGAAAAGAAAGGTTAAACTCTGTGAGTTTAACGCACACATCACAAAGCACTTTCTGGAAATGATTCTCTCTAGTTTTTACACGAAGTTATTTCTTTTTCTACCATTGACATTAAAGCGCTTGAAATCTCCCGTTGCAAATTACACAAAAAGTGTGTATGAAATTTGCTCTGTCTAAAGGAAGTTTCAATTCTGTGAGGTGAATACCCACAACACAAAGAAGTTACTGAGAATTCTTCTGTGTAGCATTATATGAAGAAATCCCGTTTCCAATGAAGGCCTCAAAGAGGTCCAAATATCCACTTCCAGACTTTACAAACAGAGTGTTTCCAAACTGCTCTATGAAAAGAAAGGTTAAACTCTGTGTGTTGAATGCACACAACACAAAGCATTTTCTGAGAATGATTCTGTCTTGTTTGTATACAAAGATATTTCCTTTTCTACCATTGGCCTCAAAGCGCTTGAAATCTGCAGTTGCAAATTCCACAAAAAGAGTGTTTCAAATCTTCTCTGTCTAAAGGAAGGTTCTACTCTGTGAGTTGAATACACACAACACAAAGAAGTTCCTGAGAATTCTTCTGTCCAGCATTTTACGACGAAATCCATTTTCCAACAAATGCCTCAAAGAGGTCCTAATTGGTTAAACTCTCTGTGTTGAACACACACATCACAAAGCAGTTGTTGAGAATGATTCTGTCTAATTTTTATACGAAGATATTTCCTTTTCTACCATTGGCCTCAAGCGTTTGAAATCTCCACTTGAAAATTCCACAAAAAGAGTGTTTCAAATCTGCTCTGTTTAAAGGAAGGTTCTACTCTGTGAGTTGAATACACACAACACAAAGAATTTCCTGAGAATTCTTCAGTCTAGCATTTTACG
This sequence comes from Homo sapiens, assembly GCF_000001405.40. Classification (NCBI taxonomy): domain Eukaryota; kingdom Metazoa; phylum Chordata; class Mammalia; order Primates; family Hominidae; genus Homo; species Homo sapiens. The sequence continues at coordinate 24,895,966 of NC_000019.10, read as the reverse complement.
AAGAATCCGTTTTCCAACAAATGCCTCAAGAGGTCCTAATTGATTAAATTCTGTGTGTTGAACGCACACATGACAA
>NC_000019.10:24891356-24895790 GCF_000001405.40 Homo sapiens | reverse complement strand
GACTTTACAAACAGAGTGTTTCCTAACTGCTCTATGAAAAGAAGGTTAAACTCTGTGAGTTGAACGCACACATCACAAAGGAGTTTCTGAGAATCATTCTGTCTAGTTTTTATACGAAGATATTTCCTTTTCTACCATTGACCTCAAAGCGGCTGAAATCTCCACTTGCAAATTCCACAAAAAGAGTGTTTCAAGTCTACTCTGTGTAAAGCATCGTTCAACTCTGTGAGTTGAAAACACACAACACAAGGAAATTTCTGAGAATTCTTCTGTATATCAGAATATGAAGAAATCCCATTTCCAGGGAAAGCCTCAAAGATGTCTGAATATCCACTTGCAGACTTTACAAACAGAGTGTTTCCTAACTGCTTTTTGAAAAGAAAGGTTAAACTCTGTGAGTTGAACGCACACATCACAAAGGAGTTTCTGAGAATCATTCTGTCTAGTTTCTATAGGAAGATATTTCCTATTCTACCATTGACCTCAAAGCGGCTGAAATCTCCACTTGCAAATTCCACAAAAAGAGTGTTTCAAGTCTGCTCTCTGTAAAGGATCGTTCAACTCTGTGAGTTGAATACACACAACACAAGGTAGTTACTGAGAATTCTTCTGTCTAGCATAAAATGTAGAAATCCCGTTTCCAACGAAGGCCTCAAGGGAGGTCTGAATATCCACTTGCCGACTTTACAAACAGAGTGTTTCCTAACTGCTCTACGAAAAGAAAGGTTAAACTCTGTGAGTTGAACGCACACATCACAAAGGAGATTCTGAGAATCATTCTGTCTAGTTTCTATAGGATGATATTCCCTATTCTACCATTGACCTCAAAGCGGCTGAAATCTCAACTTGCAAATTCCACAAGAAGAGTGTTTCAAGTCTGCTCTGTGTAAAGGATCGTTGAACTCTGTGAGTTGAATACACACAACACAAGGAAGTTACTGAGAATTCTTCTGTCTGGCATAATATGAAGAAATCCCGTTTCCAACGAAGGCCTCAAGGAGGTCTGAATATCCACTTGCAGACTTTACAAACAGAGTGTTTCCTAACTGCTCTAAGAAAAGAAAGGTTAAACTCTGTGAGTTGAACGCACACATCACAAAGGAGTTTCTGAGAATCATTCTGTCTAGTTTTTATACGAAGATATTTCCTTTTCTACCATTGACCTCAATGCGGCTGAAATCTCCAATTGCAAATTCCACAAAAAGACTGTTTCAAGTCTGCTCTGTGTAAAGGATCGTTGAACTCTGTGAGTTGAATACACACAACAGAAAGAAGTTACTGAGAATTCTTCTCTCTAGCAGAATATGAAGAAATCCCGTTTCCAACGAAGGCCTCAAAGAGGTCTGAATATCCACTTGCAGACTTTACAAACAGAGTGTTTCCTAACTGTTCTATGAAAAGAAAGGTTAAACTCTGTGAGTTTAACGCACACATCACAAAGGAGTTTCTGAGAATCATTCTGTCTAGTTTTTATACGAAGATATTTCCTTTTCTACCATTGACCTCAAAGCGGCTGAAATCTCCACTTGCAAATTCCACAAAAAGAGTGTTTCAAGTCTACTCTGTGTAAAGCATCGTTCAACTCTGTGAGTTGAAAACACACAACACAAGGAAGTTTCTAAGAATTCTTCTGTATAGCAGAATATGAAGAATTCCCGTTTCCAACGAAAGCCTCTAAGATGTCTGAATATCCACTTGCAGAGTTTACAAACAGAGTGTTTCCTAACTGCTCTATGAAAAGAAAGGTTAAACTCTGTGAGTTGAACGCACACATCACAAAGGAGTTTCTGAGAATCATTCTGTCTAGTTTTTATACGCAGATATTTCCTTTTCTACCATTGACCTCAAAGCGGCTGAAATCTCCACTTGCAAATTCCACAAAAAGAGTGTTTCAAGTCTGCTCTGTGTAAAGGATCGTTCAACTCTGTCAGTTGAATACACACAACACAAGGAAGTTACTGAGAATTCTTCTGTCTAGCAGAATATGAAGAAATCCCATTTCCAACGATGGCCTCAAAGAGGTCTGAATATCCACTTGCCGACTTTACAAACAGAGTGTTTCCTAACTGCTCTACGAAAAGAAAGGTTAAACTCTGTGTGTTGAACGCACACATCACAAAGGAGTTTCTGAGAATCATTCTGTCTAGTTTCTATAGGAAGATATTTCCTATTCTACCATTGATCTCAAAGAGGCTGAAATCTCCACTTGCAAAATCCACAAAAAGTGTGTTTCAAGTCTGCTCTGTGTAAAGGATCGTTCAACTCTGTCAGTTGAATACACACAACACAAGGAAGTTACTGAGAATTCTTCTGTCTAGCAGAATATGAAGAAATCCCATTTCCAACGATGGCCCCAAAGAGGTCTGAATATCCACTTGCCGACTTTACAAACAGAGTGTTTCCTAACTGCTCTACGAAAAGAAAGGTTAAACTCTGTGAGTTGAACGCACACATCACAAAGGAGTTTCTGAGAATAATTCTGTCTAGTTTTTATACGAAGATATATCCTTTTCTACCATTGACCTCAAAGCGGCTGAAATGTCCACTTGCAAATTCCACAAAAAGAGTGTTTCAAGTCTGCTCTGTGTAAAGGATCGTTGAACTCTGTGAGTTGAATACACACAACAGAAGGAAGTTACTGAGAATTCTTCTCTCTAGCAGAATATGAAGAAATCCCGTTTCCAACGAAGGCCTCAAAGAGGTCTGAATATCCACTTGCAGACTTTACAAACAGAGTGTTTCCTAACTGCTCTATGAAAAGAAAGGTTAAACTCTGTGAGTTGAACGCACACAGCACCAAGGAGTTTCTGACAATCATTCTGTCAATTTTCTATAGGAACATATATCCTATTCTACCATTGACCTCAAAGCGGCTGAAATCTCCACTTGCAAATTCCACAAAAAGAGTGTTTCAAGTCTACTCTGTGTGAAGCATCGTTCAACTCTGTGAGTTGAAAACACACAACACAAGGAAGTTTCTGAGAATTCTTCTGTATAGCAGAATATGAAGAAATCCCGTTTCCAAAGAAGGCAACAAGATGTCAGTATATCCACTTAGAGACTTTACAAACAGAGTGTTTCCTAACTGCTCTATGAAAAGAAAGGTTAAACCCTGTGAGTTGAACGAAAACATCACAACGCAGTTTGTGGGAATGATTCTGTCTAGTTTTGAAAAGAAGATATTTTCTTTTCTGCCATTGACCTTAAAGCGCTTGAAATCTACACTTGCACATTGCACAAATAGAGTGTTTCAAATCTGCTCTGTCTAAGGGAACGTTCATCTCTGTGAGTTGAATGCACACAACACAAGGAAGTTACTGGGAATTCTTCTGTCTAGCCTTACATGAAAAAAACCCGTTTCCAACGAAGGTCTCTAAGTGGTCAAAATATCCACGTGTAGACTTTACAAACAGAGTGTTTCCAAACTGCTGAATGAAAAGAAAAGTTAAACTCTGAGAGTTGAACGCACACATCACAGAGCAGTTTCTGAGAATGATTCTGTCTAGATTTATACGAAGATATTTCCTTTTCTACCATTGACCTCAAAGCGGCTGAAATCTCCACTTGCAAATTCCACAAGAAGAGTGTTTCAAGTCTGCTCTGTGTAAAGGATGGTTGAACTCTGTGAGTTGAATACACACAACACAAGGAAGTTACTGAGAATTCTTCTCTCTAGCAGAATATGAAGAAATCCCGTTTCCAACGAAGGCCTCAAGGAGATCTGAATATCCACTTGCAGACTTTACAAACAGAGTGTTTCCTAACTATTCTATGAAAAGAAAGGTTAAACTCTGTGAGTTGAACGCACACATCACAAAGGAGTTTCTGAGAATCATTCTGTCTTGTTTTTGTACGAAGATATTTCGTTTTCTACCATTGACCACAAATCGGCTGAAATCTCCACTTTCAAATTCCACAAAAAGAGTGTTTCAAGTCTGCTCTGTGTAAAGGATCGTTCAACTCTGTGAGTTGAAAACACACAACACAAGGAAGTTTCTGAGAATTCTTCTGTCTAGCAGAATATGAAGAAATCCCGTTTCCAACGAAGGCCTCAAGGAGGTCTGAATATCCACTTGCAGACTTTACAAACAGAGTGTTTCCTAACTGCTCTATGAAAAGAAAGGTTAAACTCTGTGAGTTGAACGCACACATCACAAAGGAGTTTCTGAGAATCATTCTGTCTAGTTTCTATAGGAAGATATTTCTTATTCTACCATTGACCTCAAAGAGGCTGAAATCTCCACTTGCAAATTCCACAAAAAGTGTGTTTCAAGTCTGCTCTGTGTAAAGGATCGTTCAACTCTGTGAGTTGAATACACACAACACAAGGAAGTTACTGAGAATTCTTCTGTCTAGCAGAATATGAAGAAATCCCGTTTCCAACGAAGGCCTCAAAGAGGTCTGAATATCCACTTGCCGACTTTACAAACAGAG
>NC_000019.10:24498980-24552652 GCF_000001405.40 Homo sapiens | reverse complement strand
TCTGTCTAGATTTTATATGAGGATGTTTCCTTTTCTACCATGGGCATCAAAGCCTTCCACATATCCAATGGTAGATTGTACAAAAGAGTGTTTCAAAACTGCTTTATGAAAAGGAAGGTTCAACTTTGGGAGCAGAATGCACACATCACGAAGAAGTTTCCGAGAATGCTTCTGTCCAGTTTATATGTGAAAATATTCCCATTTCCAGCGAAGGTCTCAAAGCGGTCCAAATATTCACTTGCGGATTCCACAAAAAGAGTGTTTCAAAACTGCTCTATGGAAAGGTATGTTCAACTCTGTGAGTTTAATGCAAACATCATAAAGAAGTTTCTGAGAATGCTTCTGTCTAGTTTAATGTGAATATATTTTCTTTTCTACCATAGCCCTCAAAGAGCTCCAAATATCCACTTTCAGATTCTACAAAGTGTTTCAAAACTGCTCTATCAAAAAAAAGTTTCAACTCTGTGAGTGGAATGCACATAACACAAAGTAGTTTCTGAGAATGCTTCTGTCTAGATTTTAGAGCCAGATATTTCTTTTTCTGCCATAGGCCTCAAAGCGCTCCTGATATCCACATGCAGATTCTACACAAAGAGTGTTTCAAAACTGCTCTATCAAAAGGAAGGTTCAACTCTGGTAGTTGAATGCAAACATCACAAAGAAGTTTCTCAGAATGCTTCTGTCTAGTTTTTAGAGCCAGATATTTCTTTTTCTGCCATAGGCCTCAAAGCGCTCCTGATATCCACTTGCACACTCTACAGAAAGAGTGTTTCAAAACTGCTCTATCAAAAGGAAGGTTCAACTCTGTGAGCTGAATGGACAGATCACAAAGGAGTTTCTGAGCATGCTTATGTCTAGTTTTTATGTGAAGATATTCCCGTTTCCAAGGAAGGCTTCAAAGCACTCCAAATATCCACCTGCAGATTCTACAACAAGTGTCTTTCAACACTGCTCTATCAAAAGTGAGGTTCCACTCGGTGAGTTGAATGCACACATCACAAAGAAGTTTCTAAGAATCCTTCAGTCTAGTTTTTATGTGAAGATAATCCTGTTTCCAACGATAGCCTCAAAGCAGTCCCAGTATCCACTTGCAGATTCTACAAAAATAGTGTTTGAAAACTGGACTATATAAAGAGAAGTTCAACTTTCTGAGTTGAATGCAAACATCACAAAGGAGTTTTACAGAATACTTCTGTCTGGTTTTTTGTGAAGATATTTCCTTTTTCACCATAGCCCTTGACGTGCTCCAAAAGCCCACTGGTGCATTCTACAAAAAGAATGTTGCAAAACTGCCCTATTAAAAGGAAGGATCAACTCTGTGAGTTGAATGCAAACATCACAAAGATGTTTCTGAGAATGCTTCTGTCCAGTTTTTATGTGAAGACATTCCCTTTCCACCAGAGGCCTCAAAGCGCTCCAAATATCCAATTGCTGATTCTACCAAAACACTGTTTCAAAACCGCTCCATAAAAAAGATGGTTCCACTCTGTGAGTTGAATACACACATCACAAAGAAGTTTCAGAGAATGCTTCTGTCTAGTGTTTATGTGAAGATATTCCCGTTTCCAATGAAGGCCTCAAAGCAGTCCAAATATCCACTTGCAGATACTACAAAAATAGTGTTTCAAAACTGCTCTATGAAAAGGTATGTTCAACACTGTGAGATGAATGCAAACGTCACAAAGAAGTTGCTGAGAATGCTTCAGTCTAGTTTCTATGTGAAGATATTTCCTTTTCGACCACAGCCCTCAAAGCACTCCAAATGTCTACTTGCAGATTCGATAAAAGAGTTTTTCAAAACTGCTCTATCAAAAGAAAAGTTCAGCGCTGTGAGTTGAATCTACATATCACAAAAAAGTTTCTGAGAATGCCTCTATCTACTTTTTATGTGAAGATATTCCGGTTTCCAATGAAGGCCTCAAAACGCTCCAAATATCTACTGGCAGATTCTACAAAAAGAGTGTTTCAAAACTGCTCTATTAAAGGAAGGTTCAACTCTGTGAGTTGAATTCACACATCACAAAGAACTTTCTGACAATGCTTCTACCTAGTTTTTATGTTAAGATAGTACTGTTTCCTATGAAGGCCTCAAAGTGGTCCAAATATCCACTTGCAGATTCTACAAAAAGAGGTTTTCCAAACTGCTCTATGAAGAGGTAGGTTCAACTCTGTGAGTTGAATGCAAACATCACAAAGTAGTTTCTGGGATTGCTTCGGTCTAGTTTTTAGGTGAAGATATTTCCATTTGCACAATAGCCCTCCAAGCGCTCCAAATATCCACTGGCGGATTCTACAAAAAGAGTGTTTCAGAACTGCTCTGTCAAAAGAAATGTTCAACTGTGTTAGTTGAATGCCCACATCACAAAGAAGATTCTGAGAATAATTCTGTCTAGATTTTATTCGAAGATATTCCCGTTTCCACCTAAGGACTCAAAGCGCCCCAAATATCCACTTGCAGATCTTACAAAAACACGTTTCAAAACTGCTCTCTCAAAGGAACGGTTCATCTCTCTGGGTTCAATGCACACATCACAAAGAAGTTTCTGAGAATGATTCTGGCTAGTTTTTATGTGAGGATATTCCCATTTCCAACAAAGGCTTCAAAGCGCTCCAAATATTCACCTGCAATTGTACAAAAGAGTGTTTCAAAACTCTTCTATCAAAAGGAAGGTTCAACTCTGTGAGTTGAATGCACACTTCACATAGATGTTTCTGAGAATGCTTCTTTCTAGTTTTTATGTGAAGATATTTCCTTCTCCACCATAGCCCTCAATGCGCTCCAAATGCCCACTGGCAGATTCCACGGAAACAGGGTTTCAAAACTGCTCTAACAAAAGAAAAGTTCAACTCCGTGATTTGGATGCACACATCACACAGCAGTTTCTGTGAATCCTTCTGTCTAGTTTTTATATGAGGAGATTTCCTTTTCTACCACGGGCATCAAAGCGTTCCAAATATCCAATTGTAGATTGTACAAAAGGAGTGTTTCAAAAATGCTTTATGAAAAGGAAGGTTCAACTTTGGGAGTAGAATGCACACATCACGAAGAAGTTTCTTGAGAATGCTTCTGTCTAGTTTATATGTGAAGATATTCCCATTTCCAGCAAAGGTCTCAAAGCAGTCCAAATATCCACTTGCGGATTCCCCAAAAAGAGTGTTTCAAAACTGCTCTATGGAAAGGTATGTTCAACTCTGTGAGTTTAATGCAAACATCATAAAGAAGTTTCTGAGGATGCTTCTGTCTAGTTTAATGGGAATATATTTTCTTTTCCACCATAGCCCTCAAATAGCTCCAAATATCCACTTTCAGATTCTACAGAGTGTTTCAAAACTGCTCTATCAAAAAAAAGTTTCAACTCTGTGAGTTGAATGCACATATCTCAAAGTAGTTTCTGAGAATGCTTTTGTCAGTTTTTCATAGGAAGATATTTCCTTTTTGACCATAGGCCTCAAATCGCTCCAGATATCCACATGCAGATTCTACACAAAGAGTGTTTCAAAACTGCTCTATCAAAAGGAAGGTTCAACTCTGGTAGTTGAATGCAAACATCACAAAGAAGTTTCTCAGAATGCTTCTGTCTAGTTTTTATATACAGATATTTCTTTTTCTGCCTAGGCCTCAAAGCGCTCCTGATATCCACTTGCAGACTCTACAGAAAGAGTGTTTCAAAACTGCTCTATCAAAAGGAAGGTTCAACTCTGTGAGCTGAATGGACAGATCACAAAGGAGTTTCTGAGAATGCTTATGTCTAGTTTTTATGTGAAGATATTCCCGTTTCCAAGGAAGGCTTCAAAGCACTCCAAATATCCACCTGCAGATTCTACAACAAGTGTCTTTCAACACTGCTCTATCAAAAGTGAGGTTCCACTCGGTGAGTTGAATGCACACATCACAAAGAAGTTTCTAAGAATCCTTCAGTCTAGTTTTTATGAGAAGATAATCCTGTTTCCAACGAAGGCCTCAAAGCAGTCCCAGTATCCACTTGCAGATTCTACAAAAATAGTGTTTGAAAACTGGACTATATAAAGAGAAGTTCAACTTTCTGAGTTGAATGCAAACATCACAAAGGAGTTTTAGAGAATACTTCTGTCTAGTTTTTATGTGAAGATATTTCCTTTTTCACCATAGCCCTTGACGTGCTCCAAAAGCCCACTGGTGCATTCTACAAAAAGAGTGTTGCAAAACTGCCCTATTAAAAGGAAGGATCAACTCTGTGAGTTGAATGCAAACATCACAAAGATGTTTCTGAGAATGCTTCTGTCCAGTTTTTATGTGAAGACATTCCCTTTCCACCAGAGGCCTCAAAGCGCTCCCAATATCCACTTGCTGATTCTACAAAAACACTGTTTCAAAACCGCTCCATAAAAAAGATGGTTCAACTCTGTGAGTTGAATACACACATCACAAAGAAGTTTCAGAGAATGCTTCTGTCTAGTGTTTATGTGAAGATATTCCCGTTTCCAGTGAAGGCCTCAACGCAGTCCAAATATCCAATTGCAGATTCTACAAAAAGAGTGTTTCAAAACTGCTCTATGAAAAGGTATGTTCAACACTGTGAGATGAATGCAAACGTCACAAAGAAGTTGCTGAGAATGCTTCAGTCTAGATTCTATGTGAAGATATTTCCTTTTCGACCACAGCCCTCAAAGCACTCCAAATGTCTACTTGCAGATTCGATAAAAGAGTTTTTCAAAACTGCTCTATCAAAAGAAAGGTTCAGCGCTGTGAGTTGAATCTACATATCACAAAAAAGTTTCTGAGAATGCCTCTATCTACTTTTTATGTGAAGATATTCCGGTTTCCAACGAAGGCCTCAAAGCGCTCCAAATATCTACTTGCAGATTCTACAAAAAGAGTGTTTCAAAACTGCTCTATTAAAGGAAGGTTCAACTCTGTGAGTTGAATTCACACATCACAAAGAACTTTCTGACAATGCTTCTACCTAGTTTTTATGTGAAGATAGTACTGTTTCCTATGAAGGCCTCAAAGTGGTCCAAATATCCACTTGCAGATTCTACAAAAAGAGGTTTTCCAAACTGCTCTATGAAGAGGTAGGTTCAACTCTATGAGTTTAATGCAAACATCACAAAGTAGTTTCTGGGATTGCTTCGGTCTAGTTTTTAGGTGAAGATATTTCCGTTTGCACAATAGCCCTCAAAGCGCTCCAAATATCCACTGGCGGATTCTACAAAAAGAGTGTTTCAGAACTGCTCTGTCAAAAGAAATGTTCAACTGTGTTAGTTGAATGCCCACATCACAAAGAAGATTCTGAGAATAATTCTGTCTAGTTTTTATTCGAAGATATTCCCGTTTCCACCTAAGGGCTCAAAGCGCCCCAAATATCCACTTGCAGATCTTACAAAAACACGTTTCAAAACTGCTCTCTCAAAGGAACGGTTCATCTCTCTGGGTTCAATGCACACATCACAAAGAAGTTTCTGAGAGTGCTTCTGGCTAGTTTGTATGTGAAGATATTCCCACTTCCAACAAAGGCTTCAAGGCGCTCCAAATATTCACCTGCAATTGTACAAAAGTGAGTTTCAAAACTGTTCTGTCAAAAGTAAGGTTCAACTCTGTGAGTTGAATGCACACTTCAAATAGGTGTTTCTGAGAATGCTTCTTTCTAGTTTTTATGTGAAGATATTTCTTTCTCCACCATAGCCCTCAATGCGCTCCAAATGTCCACTGGCAGATTCCACGGAAACGGGGTTTCAAAACTGCTCTAACAAAAGAAAAGTTCAACTCCGTGATTTGGATGCACACATCACACAGCAGTTTCTGTGAATCCTTCTGTCTAGATTTTATATGAGGATGTTTCCTTTTCTACCATGGGCATCAAAGCCTTCCACATATCCAATGGTAGATTGTACAAAAGAGTGTTTCAAAACTGCTTTATGAAGAGGAAGGTTCAACTTTGGGAGCAGAATGCACACATCACGAAGAAGTTTCCGAGAATGCTTCTGTCTAGTTTATATGTGAAGATATTCCCATTTCCAGCAAAGGTCTCAAAGCGGTCCAAATATCCACTTGCGGATTCCCCAAAAAGAGTGTTTCAAAACTGCTCTATGGAAAGGTATGTTCAACTCTGTGAGTTTAATGCAAACATCATAAAGAAGTTTCTGAGGATGGTTCTGTCTAGTTTAATGGGAATATATTTTCATTTCCACCATAGCCCTCAAAAAGCTCCAAATATCCACTTTCAGATTCTACAGAGTGTTTCAAAACTGCTCTATCAAAAAAAAGTTTCAACTCTGTGAGTTGAATGCACATATCTCAAAGTAGTTTCTGAGAATGCTTCTGTCTAGTTTTTAGAGCCAGATATTTCTTTTTCTGCCATAGGCCTCAAAGCGCTCCTGATATCCACATGCAGATTCTACACAAAGAATGTTTCAAAACTGCTCTATCAAAAGGAAGGTTCAACTCTGGTAGTTGAATGCAAACATCACAAAGAAGTTTCTCAGAATGCTTCTGTCTAGTTTTTAGAGCCAGATATTTCTTTTTCTGCCATAGGTCTCAAAGCGCTCCTGATATCCACTTGCAGACTCTACAGAAAGAGTGTTTCAAAACTGCTCTATCAAAAGGAAGGTTCAACTCTGTGAGCTGAATGGACAGATCACAAAGGAGTTTCTGAGAATGCTTATGTCTAGTTTTTATGTGAAGATATTCCCGTTTCCAAGGAAGGCTTCAAAGCACTCCAAATATCCACCTGCAGATTCTACAACAAGTGTCTTTCAACACTGCTCTATCAAAAGTGAGGTTCCACTCGGTGAGTTGAATGCACACATCAAAAAGAAGTTTCTAAGAATCCTTCAGTCTAGTTTTTATGTGAAGATACCCGTTTCCAACGAAGGCCTCAAAGCAGTCCCAGTATCCACTTGCAGATTCTACAAAAATAGTGTTTGAAAACTGGACTATATAAAGAGAAGTTCAACTTTCTGAGTTGAATGCAAACATCACAAAGGAGTTTTACAGAATACTTCTGTCTAGTTTTTATGTGAAGATATTTCCTTTTTCACCATAGCCCTTGACGTGCTCCAAAAGCCCACTGGTGCATTCTACAAAAAGAGTGTTGCAAAACTGCCCTATTAAAAGGAAGGATCAACTCTGTGAGTTGAATGCAAACATCACAAAGATGTTTCTGAGAATGCTTTTGTCCAGTTTTTATGTGAAGACATTCCCTTTCCACCAGAGGCCTCAAAGCGCTCCCAATATCCACTTGCTGATTCTACAAAAACACTGTTTCAAAACTGCTCCATAAAAAAGATGGTTCAACTCTGTGAGTTGAATACACACATCACAAAGAAGTTTCAGAGAATGCTTCTGTCTAGTTTTTATGTGAAGATATTCCCGTTTCCATTGAAGGCCTCAACGCTGTCCAAATATCCAATTGCAGATTCTACAAAAATAGTGTTTCAAAACTGCTCTATGAAAAGGTATGTTCAACACTGTGAGATGAATTCAAACGTCACAAAGAAGTTGCTGAGAATGCTTCAGTCTAGTTTCTATGTGAAGATATTTCCTTTTCGACCACAGCCCTCAAAGCACTCCAAATGTCTACTTGCAGATTCGATAAAAGAGTTTTTCAAAACTGCTCTATCAAAAGAAAGGTTCAGCGCTGTGAGTTGAATCTACATATCACAAAAAAGTTTCTGAGAATGCCTCTATCTACTTTTTATGTGAAGATATTCCGGTTTCCAACGAAGGCCTCAAAGCGCTCCAAATATCTACTGGCAGATTCTACAAAAAGAGTGTTTCAAAACTGCTCTATTAAAGGAAGGTTCAACACTGTGAGTTGAATTCACACATCACAAAGAAGTTTCTGAGAATGCTTCTACCTAGTTTTTATGTGAAGATAGTACTGTTTCCTATGAAGGCCTCAAAGTGGTCCAAATATCCACTTGCAGATTCTACAAAAAGAGGTTTTCCAAACTGCCCTATGAAGAGGTAGGTTCAACTCTGTGAGTTGAATGCAAACATCACAAAGTAGTTTCTGGGATTGCTTCGGTCTAGTTTTTAGGTGAAGATATTCCCATTTGCACAATAGCCCTCAAAGCGCTCCAAATATCCACTGGCGGATTCTACAAAAAGAGTGTTTCAGAACTGCTCTGTCAAAAGACATGTTCAACTGTGTTAGTTGAATGCCCACATCACAAAGAAGTTTCTGAGAATAATTCTGTCTAGTTTTTATTCGAAGATATTCCCGTTTCCACCTAAGGACTCAAAGCGCCCCTAATATCCACTTGCAGATCTTACAAAAACACGTTTCAAAACTGCTCTCTCAAAGGAACGGTTCATCTCTCTGGGTTCAATGCACACATCACAAAGAAGTTTCTGAGAATGCTTCTGGCTAGTTTTTATGTGAGGATATTCCCATTTCCAACAAAGGCTTCAAAGCGCTCCAAATATTCACCTGCAATTGTACAAAAGAGTGTTTCAAAACTCTTCTATCAAAAGGAAGGTTCAACTCTGTGAGTTGAATGCACACTTCACATAGATGTTTCTGAGAATGCTTCTTTCTAGTTTTTATGTGGAGATATTTCCTTCTCCACCATAGCCCTCAATGCGCTCCAAATGTCCACTGGCAGATTCCACGGAAACAGGGTTTCAAAACTGCTCTAACAAAAGAAAAGTTCAACTCCGTGATTTGGATGCACACATCACACAGCAGTTTCTGTGAATCCTTCTGTCTAGATTTTATATGAGGATGTATCCTTTTCTACCATGGGCATCAAAGCCTTCCACATATCCAATGGTAGATTGTACAAAAGAGTGTTTCAAAACTGCTTTATGAAGAGGAAGGTTCAACTTTGGGAGCAGAATGCACACATCACGAAGAAGTTTCCGAGAATGCTTCTGTCTAGTTTATATGTGAAGATATTCCCATTTCCAGCAAAGGTCTCAAAGCGGTCCAAATATCCACTTGCGGATTCCCCAAAAAGAGTGTTTCAAAACTGCTCTATGGAAAGGTATGTTCAACTCTGTGAGTTTAATGCAAACATCATAAAGAAGTTTCTGAGGATGCTTCTGTCTAGTTTAATGGGAATATATTTTCTTTACCACCATAGCCCTCAAATAGCTCCAAATATCCACTTTCAGATTTTACAGAGTGTTTCAAAACTGCTCTATCAAAAAAAAGTTTCAACTCTGTGAGTTAAATGCACATATCTCAAAGTAGTTTCTGAGAATGCTTTTGTCTGTTTTTCATAGGAAGATATTTCCTTTTTGACCATAGGCCTCAAATCGCTCCAGATATCCACATGCAGATTCTACACAAAGAGTGTTTCAAAACTGCTCTATCAAAAGGAAGGTTCAACTCTGGTAGTTGAATGCAAACATCACAAAGAAGTTTCTCAGAATGCTTCTGTCTACTATTTAAATGAAGATATTTCTTTTTCTACCATAGGCCTCAAAGCGCTCCAAATATCCACTTGCAGATTCTCCAAAAACAGTGTTTCAAAACTGCTCCATAAAAAGGAAGGTTCAACTCTGTGAGTTGAATAGACACATCACAAAGAAGTTTCAGAGAATGCTTATGTCTAGTTTTTATGTGAAGATATTCCCGTTTCCAAGGAAGGCTTCAAAGCACTCCAAATATCCACCTGCAGATTCTACAACAAGTGTCTTTCAACACTGCTCTATCAAAAGTGAGGTTCCACTCGGTGAGTTGAATGCACACATCACAAAGAAGTTTCTAAGAATCCTTCAGTCTAGTTTTTATGTGAAGATAATCCCGTTTCCAATGAAGGCCTCAAAGCAGTCCCAGTATCCACTTGCAGATTCTACAAAAATAGTGTTTGAAAACTGGACTATATAAAGAGAAGTTCAACTTTCTGAGTTGAATGCAAACATCACAAAGGAGTTTTACACAATACTTTCTCTCTAGTTTTTATGTGAAGATATTTCCTTTTTCACCATAGCCCTTGACGTGTTCCAAAAGCCCACTGGTGCATTCTACAAAAAGAGTGTTGCAAAACTGCCCTATTAAAAGGAAGGATCAACTCTGTGAGTTGAATGCAAACATCACAAAGATGTTTCTGAGAATGCTTCTGTCCAGTTTTTATGTGAAGACATTCCCTTTCCACCAGAGGCCTCAAAGCGCTCCCAATATCCAATTGCTGATTCTACAAAAAACACTGTTTCAAAACCGCTCCATAAAAAAGATGGTTCAACTCTGTGAGTTGAATACACACATCACAAAGAAGTTTCAGAGAATGCTTCTATCTAGTGTTTATGTGGAGATATTCCCGTTTCCAGTGGAGGTCTCAACGCAGTCCAAATATCCAATTGCAGATTCTACAAGAAGAGTGTTTCAAAACTGCTCTATGAAAAGGTATGTTCAACACTGTGAGATGAATGCAAACGACACAAAGAAGTTGCTGAGAATGCTTCAGTCTAGTTTCCATGTGAAGATATTTCCTTTTCGACCACAGCCCTCAAAGCACTCCAAATGTCTACTTGCAGATTCGATAAAAGAGTTTTTCAAAACTGCTCTATCAAAAGAAAGGTTCAACGCTGTGAGTTGAATCTACATATCACAGAAAAATTTCTGAGAATGCCTCTATCTACTTTTTATGTGAAGATATTCCAGTTTCCAACGAAGGCCTCAAAGCTCTCCAAATATCTACTTGCAGATTCTACAAAAAGAGTGTTTCAAAACTGCTCTATTAAAGGAAGGTTCAACTCTGTGAGTTGAATTCACACATCACAAAGAAGTTTCTGAGAATGCTTCTACCTAGTTTTTATGTGAAGATAGTACTGTTTCCTATGAAGGCCTCAAAGTGGTCCAAATATCCACTTGCAGATTCTACAAAAAGAGGTTTTCCAAACTGCTCTATGAAGAGGTAGGTTCAACTCTGTGAGTTGAATGCAAACATCACAAAGTAGTTTCTGGGATTGCTTCTGTCTAGTTTTCAGGGGCAGATATTTCCATTGGCACAATAGCCCTCCAAGCGCTCCAAATATCCACATGCAGATTCTACCAAAAGAGTGTTTCAAAACTGCTCTGTGAAAAGAAATGTTCAACTGTGTTAGTTGAATGCCCACATCACAAAGGAGATTCTGAGAATATTTCTGTCTAGTTTTTATTCGAAGATATTCCCGTTTCCACCTAAGGGCTCAAAACGCCCCAAATATCCACTTGCAGATCTTACAAAAACACGTTTCAAAACTGCTCTCTCAAAGGAACGGTTCATCTCTCTGGGTTCAATGCACACATCACAAAGAAGTTTCTGAGAGTGCTTCTGGCTAGTTTGTATGTGAAGATATTCCCATTTCCAACAAAGGCTTAAAGGCGCTCCAAATATTCACCTGAAATTGTACAAAAGAATGTTTCAAAACTGTTCTATCAAAAGGAAGGTTCAACTCCGTGAGTTGAATGCACACTTCACATAGATGTTTCTCAGAATGCTTCTTTCTAGTTTTTATGTGAAGATATTTCCTTCTCCACCATAGCCCTCAATGTGCTCCAAATGTCCACTGGCAGATTCCACGGAAACAGGGTTTCAAAACTGCTCTAACAAAAGAAAAGTTCAACTCCGTGATTTGGATGCACACATCACACAGCAGTTTCTGTGAATCCTTCTGTCTAGATTTTATATGAGGATGTTTCCTTTTCCACCATGGGCATCAAAGCCTTCCACATATCCAATGGTAGATTGTACAAAAGAGTGTTTCAAAACTGCTTTATGAAGAGGAAGGTTCAACTTTGGGAGCAGAATGCACACATCACGAAGAAGTTTCCGAGAATGCTTCTGTCTAGTTTATATGTGAAGATATTCCCATTTCCAGCAAAGGTCTCAAAGCGGTCCAAATATCCACTTGCGGATTCCTCAAAAAGAGTGTTTCAAAACTGCTCTATGGAAAGGTATGTTCAACTCTGTGAGTTTAATGCAAACATCATAAAGAAGTTTCTGAGGATGCTTCTGTCTAGATTTTATTTGAAGATATTTCCTTTTCTACCTTAAGCCGCAAAGCGTTCCAAATGTCCACTTGCAGATTCTAGAAAACAGAGTATTTCCAAACTGCTCAATCAAAAAAAAGATTCAAGTCTGTGAGATGAACACACACATCAAAAAGTATTTTCTCAGATTTCTTTTGTCTGTTTTTCATAGGAAGATATTTCCTTTTTGACCATAGGCCTCAAATCTGCTCCAGATATCCACATGCAGATTCTACACAAAGAGTGTTTCAAAACTGCTCTATCAAAAAGGAAGGTTCAACTCTGGTAGTTGAATGCAAACATCACAAAGAAGTTTCTCAGAATGCTTCTGTCTAGTTTTTATATACAGATATTTCTTTTTCTGCCTAGGCCTCAAAGCGCTCCTGATATCCACTTGCAGACACTACAGAAAGAGTGTTTCAAAACTGCTCTATCAAAAGGAAGGTTCAACTCTGTGAGCTGAATGGACAGATCACAAAGGAGTTTCTGAGAATGCTTATGTCTAGTTTTTATGTGAAGATATTCCCGTTTCCAAGGAAGGCTTCAAAGCACTCCAAATATCCACCTGCAGATTCTACAACAAGTGTCTTTCAACACTGCTCTATCAAAAGTGAGGTTCCACTCGGTGAGTTGAATGCACACATCACAAAGAAGTTTCTAAGAATCCTTCAGTCTAGTTTTTATGTGAAGATAATCCCGTTTCCAACGAAGGCCTCAAAGCAGTCCCAGTATCCACTTGCAGATTCTACAAAAATAGTGTTTGAAAACTGGACTATATAAAGAGAAGTTCAACTTTCTGAGTTGAATGCAAACATCACAAAGGAGTTTTACAGAATACTTCTGTCTAGTTTTTATGTGAAGATATTTCCTTTTTCACCATAGCCCTTGACGTGCTCCAAAAGCCCACTGGTGCATTCTACAAAAAGAGTGTTGCAAAACTGCCCTATTAAAAGGAAGGATCAACTCTGTGAGTTGAATGCAACATCACAAAGATGTTTCTGAGAATGCTTCTGTCTAGATTTCATGTGAAGACATTACCTTTTCTGCCGTAGGCTACAAAGCACTCCAAATGTCCACTTGCAGATTCTACAAAAAGAGTGTTTCCAAACTGCTCAATCAAAACAATTGTTCGACTCTGTGAGATGAACGCACACATCAGAAGGAAGTTTCTCAGAATTCTTCTGTCTAGTGTTTATGTGAAGACATTCCCGTTTCCAATGAAGGCCTCAATGCAGTCCAAATATCCACTTGCAGATTCTACAAAAATAGTGTTTCAAAACTACTCTATGAAAAGGTATGTTCAACACTGTGAGATGAATGCAAACGTCACAAAGAAGTTGCTGAGAATGCTTCAGTCTAGTTTCTATGTGAAGATATTTCCTTTTCGACCACAGCCCTCAAAGCACTCCAAATGTCTACTTGCAGATTCGATAAAAGAGTTTTTCAAAACTGCTCTATCAAAAGAAAGGTTCAACGCTGTGAGTTGAATCTACATATCACAAAAATGTTTCTTAGAATGCCTCTATCTACTTTTTATGTGAAGATATTCCGGTTTCCAACGAAGGCCTCAAAGCGCTCCAAATATCTACTGGCAGATTCTACAAAAAGAGTGTTTCAAAACTGCTGTATTAAAGGAAGGTTCAACTCTGTGAGTTGAATTCACACATCACAAAGAAGTTTCTGAGAATGCTTCTACCTAGTTTTTATGTGAAGATAGTACTGTTTCCTATGAAGGCCTCAAAGTGGTCCAAATATCCACTTGCAGATTCTACAAAAAGAGGTTTTCCAAACTGCTCTATGAAGAGGTAGGTTCAACTCTGTGAGTTGAATGCAAACATCACAAAGTAGTTTCTGGGATTGCTTCGGTCTAGTTTTTAGGTGAAGATATTTCCATTTGCACAATACCCCTCAAAGCGCTCCAAATATCCACTGGCGGATTCTACAAAAAGAGTGTTTCAGAACTGCTCTGTCAAAAGACATGTTCAACTGTGTTAGTTGAATGCCCACATCACAAAGAAGATTCTGAGAATAATACTGTCTAGTTTTTATTAGAAGATATTCCCGTTTCCACCAAAGGACTCAAAGCGCCCCAAATATCCACTTGCAGATCTTACAGAAACACGTTTCAAAACTGCTCTATCAAAGGAAAGGTTCATGTCTCTGGGTTCAATGCACACATCACAAAGAAGTTTCTGAGAATGCTTCTGGCTAGTTTTTATGTGAGGATATTCCCATTTCCAACAAAGGCTTCAAAGCGCTCCAAATATTCACCTGCAATTGTACAAAAGAGTGTTTCAAAACTCTTCTATCAAAAGGAAGGTTCAACTCTGTGAGTTGAATGCACACTTCACATAGATGTTTCTGAGAATGCTTCTTTCTAGTTTTTATGTGAAGATATTTCCTTCTCCACCATAGCCCTCAATGCGCTCCAAATGTCCACTGGCAGATTCCACGGAAACGGGGTTTCAAAACTGCTCTAACAAAAGAAAAGTTCAACTCCGTGATTTGGATGCACACATCACACAGCAGTTTCTGTGAATCCTTCTGTCTAGATTTTCATATGAGGATGTATCCTTTTCTACCATGGGCATCAAAGCCTTCCACATATCCAATGGTAGATTGTACAAAAGAGTGTTTCAAAACTGCTTTATGAAAAGGAAGGTTCAACTTTGGGAGCAGAATGCACACATCATGAAGAAGTTTCCGAGAATGCTTCTGTCTAGTTTATATGTGAAGATATTCCCATTTCCAGCAAAGGTCTCAAAGCGGTCCAAATATCCACTTGCAGATCCCACAAACAGAGGGTTTCAAAACTGCTTTACGGAAAGGTATGTTCAACTCTGTGAGTTTACTGCAAACATCCTAAAGATGTTTCTGAGAATGCTGCTGTCTAGTTTAATGTGAATATATTTTCTTTTCCGCCATAGCCCTCGAAGAGCTCCAAATATCCACTTTCAGATTCTACAGAGTGTTTCAAAACTGCTCTATCATAAAAAAGTTTCAACTCGGTGAGTCGAATGCACATATCACAAAGCACTTTGTGAGAATGCTTTTGTCTATTTTTCATAGGAAGATATTTCCTTTTTGACCATAGGACTCAAAAATCGCTCCAGATATCCACATGCAGATTCTACAAAAAGAGTGTTTCAAAACTGCTCTATCAAAAGGAAGGTTCAACTCTGGTAGTTGAATGCAAACATCACAAAGAAGTTTCTGAGAATGCTTCTGTCTAGTTTTTATATGCAGATATTTCTTTTTCTACCATAGGCCTCAAAGCGCTCCTGATATCCACTTGCAGACTCTACAGAAAGAGTGTTTCAAAACTGCTCTATCAAAAGGAAGGTTCAACTCTGTGAGCTGAATGGACAGATCACAAAGGAGTTTCTGAGAATGCTTATGTCTAGTTTTTATGTGAAGATATTCCCGTTTCCAAGGAAGGCTTCAAAGCACTCCAAATATCCACCTGCAGATTCTACAACAAGTGTCTTTCAACTCTGCTCTATCAAAAGTGAGGTTCCACTCGGTGAGTTGAAGGCACACATCACAAAGAAGTTTCTAAGAATCCTTCAGTCTAGTTTCTATGTGAAGGTAATCCCGTTTCCAACGAAGGCCTCAAAGCAGTCCCAGTATCCACTTGCAGATGCTACAAAAATAGTGTTTGAAAACTGGACTATATAAAGAGAAGTTCAACTTTCTGAGTTGAATGCAAACATCACAAAGGAGTTTTACAGAATACTTCGGTCTAGTTTTTATGTGAAGATATTTCCTTTTTCACCATAGCCCTTGACGTGCTCCAAAAGCCCACTGGTGCATTCTACAAAAAGAGTGTTGCAAAACTGCCCTATTAAAAGGAAGGATCAACTCTGTGAGTTGAATGCAAACATCACAAAGATGTTTCTGAGAATGCTTCTGTCCAGTTTTTATGTGAAGACATTCCCTTTCCACCAGAGGCCTCAAAGCGCTCCAAATATCCAATTGCTGATTCTACAAAAACACTGTTTCAAAACCGCTCCATAAAAAAGATGGTTCAACTCTGTGAGTTGAATACACACATCACAAAGAAGTTTCAGAGAATGCTTCTGTCTAGTGTTTATGTGAAGAAATTCCCGTTTCCAGTGAAGGCCTCAACGCAGTCCAAATATCCAAATGCAGATTTTACAAAAAGAGTGTTTCAATACTGCTCTATGAAAAAGTATGTTCAACATTGTGAGATGAGTGCAAACGTCACAAAGAAGTTGCTGAGAATGCTTCAGTCTAGTTTCTATGTGAAGATATTTCCTTTTCGACCACAGCCCTCAAAGCACTCCAAATGTCTACTTGCAGATTCGATAAAAGAGTTTTTCAAAACTGCTCTATCAAAAGAAAGGTTCAACGCTGTGAGTTGAATCTACATATCACAAAAAAGTTTCTGAGAATGCCTCTATCTACTTTCTATGTGAAGATATTCCGGTTTCCAACGAAGGCCTCTAAGCGCTCCAAATATCTACTTGCAGATTCTACAAAAAGAGTGTTTCAAAACTGCTCTATTAAAGGAAGGTTCAACTCTGTGAGTTGAATTCACACATCACAAAGAAGTTTCTGAGAATGCTTCTACCTAGTTTTTATGTGAAGATAGTACTGTTTCCTATGAAGGCCTCAAAGTGGTCCAAATATCCACTTGCAGATTCTACAAAAAGAGGTTTTCCAAACTGCTCTATGAAGAGGTAGGTTCAACTCTGTGAGTTGAATGCAAACATCACAAAGTAGTTTCTGGGATTGCTTCGGTCTAGTTTTTAGGTGAAGATATTTCCATTTGCACAATACCCCTCAAAGCGCTCCAAATATCCACTGGCGGATTCTACAAAAAGAGTGTTTCAGAACTGCTCTGTCAAAAGACATGTTCAACTGTGTTAGTTGAATGCCCAAATCACAAAGAAGATTCTGAGAATAATTCTGTCTAGTTTTTATTCGAAGATATTCCCGTTTCCACCTAAGGACTCAAAGCGCCCCAAATATCCACTTGCAGATCTTACAAAAACACGTTTCAAAACTGCTCTCTCAAAGGAACGGTTCATCTCTCTGGGTTCAATGCACACATCACAAAGAAGTTTCTGAGAATGCTTCTGGCTAGTTTTTATGTGAGGATATTCCCATTTCCAACAAAGGCTTCACAGCGCTCCAAATATTCACCTGCAATTGTACAAAAGAGTGTTTCAAAACTCTTCTATCAAAAGGAAGGTTCAACTCTGTGAGTTGAATGCACACTTCACATAGATGTTTCTGAGAATGCTTCTTTCTAGTTTTTATGTGAAGATATTTCCTTCTCCACCATAGCCCTCAATGCGCTCCAAATGTCCACTGGCAGATTCCACGGAAACAGGGTTTCAAAACTGCTCTAACAAAAGAAAAGTTCAACTCCGTGATTTGGATGCACACATCACACAGCAGTTTCTGTGAATCCTTCTGTCTAGATTTTATATGAGGATGTTTCCTTTTCTACCATGGGCATCAAAGCCTTCCACATATCCAATGGTAGATTGTACAAAAGAGTGTTTCAAAACTGCTTTATGAAAAGGAAGGTTCAACTTTGGGAGCAGAATGCAGACATCATGAAGAAGTTTCCGAGAATGCTTCTGTCTAGTTTATATGTGAAGATATTCCCGTTTCCAGCAAAGGTCTCAAAGCGGTCCAAATATCCACCTGCGGATTCCCCAAAAAGAGTGTTTCAAAACTGCTCTATGGAAAGGTATGTTCAACTCTGTGAGTTTAATGCAAACATCATAAAGAAGTTTCTGAGGATGCTTCAGTCTAGTTTTTATGAGAAGATATTTCCTTTTCCACCATAGGCCTCAAGGCCTTCGAAATGTCCACTTCCAGGTACTACAAAAAGAGTCTCAAAACTTCTCAATCAAAAGAAAGGTTTAACTCTGTGGGACGAATGCACACATCACAAAGAAGTTCCTCAGATTGATTTTGTCTGTTTTTCATAGGAAGATATTTCCTTTTTGACCATAGGCCTCAAATCGCTCCAGATATCCACATGCAGATTCTACAAAAAGAGTGTTTCAAAACTGCTCTATCAAAAAGGAAGGTTCAACTCTGGTAGTTGAATGCAAACATCACAAAGAAGTTTCTCAGAATGCTTCTGTCTAGTTTTTAGAGGCACATATTTCCTTTTCTACCATAGGCCTCAAAGCGCTCCAAATATCCACTTGCAGATTCTACAAAAACAGTGGTTCAAAACGGCTCCATATGAACGAAGGTTCAACTCTGTGAGTTGAATGGACAGATCACAAAGAAGTTTCTGAGAATGCTTCTGTCTAGTGTTTATGTGAAGAAATTCCCGTTTCCAGTGAAGGCCTCAACGCAGTCCAAATATCCAAATGCAGATTTTACAAAAAGAGTGTTTCAATACTGCTCTATGAAAAAGTATGTTCAACATTGTGAGATGAATGCAAACGTCACAAAGAAGTTGCTGAGAATGCTTCAGTCTAGTTTTTATGTGAAGATAATCCCGTTTCCAACGAAGGCCTCAAAGCAGTCCCAGTATCCACTTGCAGATTCTACAAAAATAGTGTTTGAAAACTGGACTATATAAAGAGAAGTTCAACTTTCTGAGTTGAATGCAAACTTCACAAAGGAGTTTTACAGAATACTTCTGTCTAGTTTTTATGTGAAGATATTTCCTTTTTCACCATAGCCCTTGACGTGCTCCAAAAGCCCACTGGTGCATTCTACAAAAAGAGTGTTGCAAAACTGCCCTATTAAAAGGAAGGATCAACTCTGTGAGTTGAATGCAAACATCACAAAGATGTTTCTGAGAATGCTTCTGTCCAGTTTTTATGTGAAGACATTCCCTTTCCACCAGAGGCCTCAAAGCGCTCCAAATATCCAATTGCTGATTCTACAAAAACACTGTTTCAAAACCGCTCCATAAAAAAGATGGTTCAACTCTGTGAGATGAATACACACATCACAAAGAAGTTTCAGAGAATGCTTCTGTCTAGTTTTTATGTGAAGATATTCCCGTTTCCAGTGAGGGGCTCAACGCAGTCCAAATATCCAATTGCAGATTCTACAAAAATAGTGTTTCAAAACTGTTCTATGAAAAGGTATGTTCAACACTGTGAGATGAATTCAAACGTCACAAAGAAGTTGCTGAGAATGCTTCAGTCTAGTTTCTATGTGAAGATATTTCCTTTTCGACCACAGCCCTCAAAGCACTCCAAATGTCTACTTGCAGATTCGATAAAATAGTTTTTCAAAACTGCTCTATCAAAAGAAAGGTTCAGCGCTGTGAGTTGAATCTACATATCACAAAAAAGTTTCTGAGAATGCCTCTATCTACTTTTTATGTGAAGATATTCCGGTTTCCAACGAAGGCCTCAAAGCGCTCCAAATATCTACTGGCAGATTCTACAAAAAGAGTGTTTCAAAACTGCTCTATTAAAGGAAGGTTCAACACTGTGAGTTGAATTCACCCATCACAAAGAAGTTTCTGAGAATGCTTCTATCGAGTTTTTATGAGAATATATTACTGTTTCCTATGAAGGCCTCAAAGTGGTCCAAATATCCACTTGCAGATAATACAAAAAGAAGTTTTCAAACCTGCTCTATGAAGAGGTATGTTCAACTATGTGAGTTGAATGCAAACATCACAAAGTAGTTTCTGAGAATGCTTCGGTCTAGTTTTTAGGTGAAGATATTTCCGTTTGCACAATAGCCCTCAAAGCGCTCCAAATATCCACTGGCGGATTCTACAAAAAGAGTGTTTCAGAACTGCTCTGTCAAAAGAAATGTTCAACTGTGTTAGTTGAATGCCCACATCACAAAGAAGATTGCTGAGAATAATTCTGTCTAGTTTTTATTCGAAGATATTCCCGTTTCCACCTAAGGGCTCAAAGCGCCCCAAATATCCACTTGCAGATCTTACAAAAACACGTTTCAAAACTGCTCTCTCAAAGGAACGGTTCATCTCTCTGGGTTCAATGCACACATCACAAAGAAGTTTCTGAGAGTACTTCTGGCTAGTTTGTGTGTGAAGATATTCCCATTTCCAACAAAGGCTTCAAAGCGCTCCAAAGATTCACCTGCAATTGTTCAAAAGAGTGTTTCAAAACTGTTCTATCAAAAGGAAGGTTCAACTCTGTGAGTTGAATGCACGCTTCACATAAATGTTTCTGAGAATGCTTCTTTCTAGTTTTTCTGTGAAGATATTTCCTTCTCCACCATAGCCCTCAATGCGCTCCAAATGTCCACTGGCAGATTCCACAGAAACAGTGTTTCAAAACTGCTCTAACAAAAGAAAGGTCCAACTCCGTGATTTGAATGCACACATCACAAAGCAGTTTCTGTGAATCCTTCTGTCTAGTTTTTATATGAGGATATTTCCTTTTCTACCATGGGCATCAAAGCGTTCCAATCATCCAATTGTAGAATGCACAAATAGAGTGTTTCAAAACTGCTTCATGAAAAGGAAGATTCAAATTTGGGAGTAGAATGCACACATCACGAAGAAGTTTCTGAGAATGCTTCTGTCTAGTTTATATGTGAAGATATTCCCTTTTCCAGCAAAGGTCTCAAAGCAGTCCAAATATCCACTTGCGGATTCCCCAAAAAGAGTGTTTCAAAACTGCTCTATGGAAAGGTATGTTCAACTCTGTGAGTTTAATGCAAACATCATAAAGAAGTTTCTGAGGATGCTTCTGTCTAGTTTAATGGGAATATATTTTCTTTTCCACCATAGCCCTCAAATAGCTCCAAATATCCACTTTCAGATTCTACAGAGTGTTTCAAAACTGCTCTATCAAAAAAAAGTTTCAACTCTGTGAGTTGAATGCACATATCTCTAAGTAGTTTCTGAGAATTCTTTTGTCTGTTTTTCATAGGAAGATATTTCCTTTTTGACCATAGGCCTCAAATCGCTCCAGATATCCACATGCAGATTCTACAAAAAGAGTGTTTCAAAACTGCTCTATCAAAAGGAAGGTTCAACTCTGGTAGTTGAATGCAAACATCACAAAGAAGTTTCTCAGAATGCTTCTGTCTAGTTTTTATATGCAGATATTTCTTTTTCTACCATAGGCCTCAAAGCGCTCCTGATATCCACTTGCAGACTCTACAGAAAGAGTGTTTCAAAACTGCTCTATCAAAAGGAAGGTTCAACTCTGTGAGCTGAATGGACAGATCACAAAGGGGTTTCTGAGAATGCTTATGTCTAGTTTTTATGTGAAGATATTCCCGTTTCCAAGGAAGGCTTCAAAACACTCCAAATATCCACCTGCAGATTCTACAACAAGTGTCTTTCAACTCTGCTCTATCAAAAGTGAGGTTCCGCTCGGTGAGTTGAAGGCACACATCACAAAGAAGTTTCTAAGAATCCTTCAGTCTAGTTTCTATGTGAAGATAATCCCGTTTCCAACGAAGGCCTCAAAGCAGTCCCAGTATCCACTTGCAGATTCTACAAAAATAGTGTTTGAAAACTGGACTATATAAAGAGAAGTTCAACTTTCTGAGTTGAATGCAAACATCACAAAGGAGTTTTACAGAATACTTCTGTCTAGTTTTTATGTGAAGATATTTCCTTTTTCACCAAAGCCCTTGACGTGCTCCAAAAGCCCACTGGTGCATTCTACAAAAAGAGTGTTGCAAAACTGCCCTATTAAAAGGAAGGATCAACTCTGTGAGTTGAATGCAAACATCACAAAGATGTTTCTGAGAATGCTTCTGTCCAGTTTTTATGAGAGGACATTCTCTTTCCACCAGAGGCCTCAAAGCGCTCCAAATATCCACTTGCTGATTCTACAAAAACACTGTTTCAAAACCGCTCCATAAAAAAGATGGTTCAACTCTGTGAGTTGAATACACACATCACAAAGAAGTTTCAGAGAATGCTTCTGTCTAGAGTATATGTGAAGATATTCCCGTTTCCAATGAAGGCCTCAAAGCAGTCCAAATATCCACTTGCAGATACTACAAAAATAGTGTTTCAAAACTGCTCTATGAAAAGGTATGTTCAACACTGTGAGATGAATGCAAACGTCACAAAGAAGTTGCTGAGAATGCTTCTGTCTAGTTTCTATGTGAAGATATTTCCTTTTCGACCACAGCCCTCAAAGCACTCCAAATGTCTGCTTGCAGGTTCGATAAAAGAGTTTTTCAAAACTGCTCTATCAAAAGAAAGGTTCAGCGCTGTGAGTTGAATCTACATATCACAAAAAAGTTTCTGAGAATGCCTCTATCTACTTTTTATGTGAAGATATTCCGGTTTCCAACGAAGGCCTCAAAGCGCTCCAAATATCTACTGGCAGATTCTACAAAAAGAGTGTTTCAAAACTGCTCTATTAAAGGAAGGTTCAACTCTGTGAGTTGAATTCACACATCACAAAGAACTTTCTGAGAATTCTTCTACCTAGTTTTTATGTGAAGATAGTACTGTTTCCTATGAAGGCCTCAATGTGGTCCAAATATCCACTTGCAGATTCTACAAAAAGAGGTTTTCCAAACTGCTCTATGAAGAGGTAGGTTCAACTCTGTGAGTTGAATGCAAACATCACAAAGTAGTTTCTGGGATTGCTTCGGTCTAGTTTTTAGGTGAAGATATTTCCATTTGCACAATAGCCCTCAAAGCGCTCCAAATATCCACTGGCGGATTCTACAAAAAGAGTGTTTCAGAACTGCTCTGTCAAAAGAAATGTTCAACTGTGTTAGTTGAATGCCCACATCACAAAGAAGATTCTGAGAATAATTCTGTCTAGTTTTTATTCGAAGATATTCCCGTTTCCACCTAAGGACTCAAAGCGCCCCAAATATCCACTTGCAGATCTTACAAAAACACGTTTCAAAACTGCTCTCTCAAGGGAACGGTTCATCTCTCTGGGTTCAATGCACACATCACAAAGAAGTTTCTGAGAATGTTTCTGGCTAGTTTTTATGTGAGGATATTCCCATTTCCAACAAATGCTTCAAAGCGCTCCAAATATTCACCTGCAATTGTACAAAAGAGTGTTTCAAAACTCTTCTATCAAAAGAACGGTTCAACTCTGTGAGTTGAATGCACACTTCACATAGGTGTTTCTGAGAATGCTTCTTTCTAGTTTTTATGTGAAGATATTTCCTTCTCCACCATAGCCCTCAATGCGCTCCAAATGTCCACTGGCAGATTCCACGGAAACAGGGTTTCAAAACTGCTCTAACAAAAGAAAAGTTCAACTCCGTGATTTGGATGCACACATCACACAGCAGTTTCTGTGAATCCTTCTGTCTAGATTTTATATGAGGATGTATCCTTTTCTACCATGGGCATCAAAGCCTTCCACATATCCAATGGTAGATTGTACAAAAGAGTGTTTCAAAACTGCTTTATGAAGAGGAAGGTTCAACTTTGGGAGCAGAATGCACACATCAGGAAGAAGTTTCCGAAAATGCTTCTGTCTAGTTTATATGTGAAGATATTCCCATTTCCAGCAAAGGTCTCAAAGCGGTCCAAATATCCACTTGCGGATTCCCCAAAAACAGTGTTTCAAAACTGCTCTATGGAAAGGTATGTTCAACTCTGTGAGTTTAATGCAAACATCATAAAGAAGTTTCTGAGGATGCTTCTGTCTAGTTTAATGTGAATATATTTTCTTTTCCACCATAGCCCTCAAATAGCTCCAAATATCCACTTTCAGTTTCTACAGAGCGTTTCAAAACGGCTATATCAAAAAAAAGGTTCTACTCTGTGAGTTGAATGCACATAACACAAAGTAGTTTCTGAGAATGTTTTTGTCTGTTTTTCATAGGAAGATATTTCCTTTTTGACCATAGGCCTCAAATCGCTCCAGATATCCACATGCAGATTCTACAAAAAGAGTGTTTCGAAACTGCTCTATCAAAAGGAAGGTTCAACTCTGGTAGTTGAATGCAAACATCACAAAGAAGTTTCTCAGAATGCTTCTGTCTAGTTTTTATATGCAGATATTTCTTTTTCTACCTTAGGCCTCAAAGCGCTCCAAATATCCACTTGCAGATTCTACAAAAACAGTGTTTCAAAACGGCTCCATAAAACGGAAGGTTCAACTCTGTGAGTTTAATGGACAGATCACAAGGAAGTTTCTGAGAATACATCTGTCTAGTTTTTATGTGAAGATATTCCCGTTTCCAGTGAGGGGCTCAACGCAGTCCAAATATCCAATTGCAGATTCTACAAAAATAGTGTTTCAAAACTGCTCTATGAAAAGGTATGTTCATCACTGTGAGATGAATTCAAACGTCACAAAGAAGTTGCTGAGAATGCTTCAGTCTAGTTTTTATGTGAAGATAATCCTGTTTCCAACGATAGCCTCAAAGCAGTCCCAGTATCCACTTGCAGATTCTACAAAAATAGTGTTTGAAAACTGGACTATATAAAGAGAAGTTCAACTTTCTGAGTTGAATGCAAACATCACAAAGGAGTTTTACACAATACTTCTGTCTAGTTTTTATGTGAAGATATTTCCTTTTTCACCATAGCCCTTGACGTGCCCCAAAAGCCCACTGGTGCAT
The DNA here is from genome assembly GCF_000001405.40 of Homo sapiens. Lineage (NCBI taxonomy): Eukaryota > Metazoa > Chordata > Mammalia > Primates > Hominidae > Homo > Homo sapiens. The sequence continues at coordinate 24,528,209 of NC_000019.10, read as the reverse complement.
TCTACAAAAAGAGTGTTGCAAAACTGCCCTATTAAAAGGAAGGATCAACTCTGTGAGTTGAATGCAAACATCACAAAGATGTTTCTGAGAATGCTTCTGTCCAGTTTTTATGTGAAGACATTCCCTTTCCACCAGAGGCCTCAAAGCACTCCAAATATCCAATTGCTGATTCTACAAAAACTGTTTCAAAACCGCTCCATAAAAAAGATGGTTCAACTCTGTGAGTTGAATACACACATCACAAAGAAGTTTCAGAGAATGCTTCTGTCTAGTGTTTATGTGAAGATATTCCCGTTTCCAATGAAGGCCTCAAAGCAGTCCAAATATCCACTTGCAGATACTACAAAAATAGTGTTTCAAAACTGCTCTATGAAAAGGTATGTTCAACACTGTGAGATGAATGCAAACATCACAAAGATGTTGCTGAGAATGCTTCAGTCTAGTTTCTATGTGAAGATATTTCCTTTTCGACCACAGCCCTCAAAGCACTCCAAATGTCTACTTGCAGATTCGATAAAAGAGTTTTTCAAAACTGCTCTATCAAAAGAAAGGTTCAGCGCTGTGAGTTGAATCTACATATCACAAAAAACTTTCTGAGAATGCCTCTATCTACTTTTTATGTGAAGATATTCCGGTTTCCAACGAAGGCCTCAAAGCGCTCCAAATATCTACTTGCAGATTCTACAAAAAGAGTGTTTCAAAACTGCTCTATTAAAGGAAGGTTCAACTCTGTGAGTTGAATTCACACATCACAAAGAATTTTCTGAGAATGCTTCTACCTAGTTTTTATGTGAAGATAGTACTGTTTCCTATGAAGGCCTCAAAGTGGTCCGAATATCCACTTGCAGATTCTACAAAAAGAGGTTTTCCAAACTGCTCTATGAAGAGGTAGGTTCAACTCTGTGAGTTGAATGCAAACATCACAAAGTAGTTTCTGGGATTGCTTCGGTCTAGTTTTTAGGTGAAGATATTTCCATTTGCACAATAGCCCTCAAAGCGCTCCAAATATCCACTGGCGGATTCTACAAAAAGAGTGTTTCAGAACTGCTCTGTCAAAAGAAATGTTCAACTGTGTTAGTTGAATGCCCACATCACAAAGAAGGTTCTGAGATAATTCTGTCTAGTTTTTATTCGAAGATATTCCCGTTTACACCTAACGGCTCAAAGCGCCCCAAATATCCACTTGCAGATCTTACAAGAACACGTTTCAAAACTGCTCTCTCAAAGGAACGGTTCATCTCTCTGGGTTCAATGCACACATCACAAAGAAGTTTCTGAGAATGCTTCTGGCTAGTTTTTATGTGAGGATATTCCCATTTCCAACAAAGGCTTCAAAGCGCTCCAAATATTCACCTGCAATTGTACAAAAGAGTGTTTCAAAACTCTTATATCAAAAGGAAGGTTCAACTCTGTGAGTTGAATGCACACTTCACATAGATGTTTCTGAGAATGCTTCTTTCTAGTTTTTATGTGAAGATATTTCCTTCTCCACCATAGCCCTCAATGTGCTCCAAATGTCCACTGGCAGATTCCACGGAAACAGGGTTTCAAAACTGCTCTAACAAAAGAAAAGTTCAACTCCGTGATTTCGATGCACACATCACACAGCAGTTTCTGTGAATCCTTCTGTCTAGATTTTATATGAGGATGTTTCCTTTTCTACCATGGGCATCAAAGCCTTCCCCATATCCAATGGTAGATTGTACAAAAGAGTGTTTCAAAACTGCTTTATGAAGAGGAAGGTTCAACTTTGGGAGCAGAATGCACACATCACGAAGAAGTTTCCGAGAATGCTTCTGTCTAATTTGTATGTGAAGATATTCCCATTTCCAGCGAAGGTCTCAAAGCGGTCCAAATATCCACTTGCGGATTCCACAAAAAGAGTGTTTCAAAACTGCTCTATGGAAAGGTATGTTCAACTCTGTGAGTTTAATGCAAACATCATAAAGAAGTTTCTGAGAATGCTTCTGTCTAGTTTAATGTGAATATATTTTCTTTTCCACCATAGCCCTCAAATAGCTCCAAATATCCACTTTCAGTTTCTACAGAGTGTTTCAAAACGGCTCTATCAAAAAAAAGGTTCAACTCTGTGAGTTGAATGCACATAACACAAAGTAGTTTCTGAGAATGCTTCTGTCTAGTTTTTAGAGCCAGATATTTCTTTTTCTGCCATAGGCCTCAAAGCGCTCCTGATATCCACATGCAGATCCTACACAAAGAGTGTTTCAAAACTGCTCTATCAAAAGGAAGGTTCAACTCTGGTAGTTGAATGCAAACATCACAAAGAAGTTTCTCAGAATGCTTCTGTCTAGTTTTTAGAGCCAGATATTTCTTTTTCTGCCATAGGCGACAAAGCGCTCCTGATATCCACTTGCAGACTCTACAGAAAGAGTGTTTCAAAACTGCTCTATCAAAAGGAAGGTTCAACTCTGTGAGCTGAATGGACAGATCACAAAGGAGTTTCTGAGAATGCTTATGTCTAGTTTTTATGTGAAGATATTCCCGTTTCCAAGGAAGGCTTCAAAACACTCCAAATATCCACCTGCAGATTCTACAACAAGTGTCTTTCAACTCTGCTCTATCAAAAGTGAGGTTCCACTCGGTGAGTTGAAGGCACACATCACAAAGAAGTTTCTAAGAATCCTTCAGTCTAGTTTTTATGTGAAGATAATCCCGTTTCCAATGAAGGCCTCAAAGCAGTCCCAGTATCCACTTGCAGATTCTACAAAAATAGTGTTTGAAAACTGGACTATATAAAGAGAAGTTCAACTTTCTGAGTTGAATGCAAACATCACAAAGGAGTTTTACAGAATACTTCTGTCTAATTTTTATGTGAAGATATTTCCTTTTTCACCATAGCCCTTGACGTGCTCCAAAAGCCCACTGGTGCATTCTACAAAAAGAGTGTTGCAAAACTGCCCTATTGAAAGGAAGGATCAACTCTGTGAGTTGAATGCAAACATCACAAAGATGTTTCTGAGAATACTTCTGTCCAGTTTTTATGTGAAGACATTCCCTTTCCACCAGAGGCCTCAAAGCGCTCCCAATATCCAATTGCTGATTCTACAAAAACACTGTTTCAAAACCGCTCCATAAAAAAGATGGTTCAACTCTGTGAGTTGAATACACACATCACAAAGAAGTTTCAGAGAATGCTTCTGTCTAGTGTTTATGTGAAGATATTCCCATTTCCAATGAAGGCCTCAAAGCAGTCCAAATATCCACTTGCAGATACTACAAAAATAGTGTCTCAAAACTGCTCTATGAAAAGGTATGTTCAACACTGTGAGATGAATGCAAACGTCACAAAGAAGTTGCTGAGAATGCTTCAGTCTGGTTTCTTTGTGAAGACATTTCCTTTTGGACCACAGCCCTCACAGCACTCCAAATGTCTACTTGCAGATTCGAGAAAAGAGTTTTTCAAAACTGCTCTATCAAAAGAAAGGTTCAACGCTGTCAGTTGAATCTACATATCACAAAAAAGTTTCTGAGAATGCCTCTATCTACTTTTTATGTGAAGATATTCCGGTTTCCAACGAAGGCCTCAAAGCGCTCCAAATATCTACTGGCAGATTCTACAAAAAGAGTGTTTCAAAACTGCTCTATTAAAGGAAGGTTCAACTCTGTGAGTTGAATTCACACATCACAAAGAAGTTTCTGAGAATGCTTCTACCTAGTTTTTATGTGAAGATAGTACTGTTTCCTATGAAGGCCTCAAAGTGGTCCAAATATCCACTTGCAGATTCTATAAAAAGAGGTTTTCCAAACTGCTCTATGAAGAGGTAGGTTCAACTCTGTGAGTTGAATGCAAACATCACAAAGTAGTTTCTGGGATTGCTTCGGTCTAGTTTTTAGGTGAAGATATTTCCATTTGCACAATAGCCCTCAAAGCGCTCCAAATATCCACTGGCGGATTCTACAAAAAGAGTGTTTCAGAACTGCTCTGTCAAAAGACATGTTCAACTGTGTTAGTTGAATGCCCACATCACAAAGAAGATTCTGAGAATAATTCTGTCTAGTTTTTATTCGAAGATATTCCCGTTTACACCTAAGGGCTCAAAGCGCCCCAAATATCCACTTGCAGATCTTACAAGAACACGTTTCAAAACTGCTCTCTCAAAGGAACGGTTCATCTCTCTGGGTTCAATGCACACATCACAAAGAAGTTTCTGAGAATGCTTCTGGCTAGTTTTTATGTGAGGATATTCCCATTTCCAACAAAGGCTTCTAAGCGCTCCAAATATTCACCTGCAATTGTACAAAAGAGTGTTTCAAAACTCTTCTATCAAAAGGAAGGTTCAACTCTGTGAGTTGAATGCACACTTCACATAGATGTTTCTGAGAATGCTTCTTTCTAGTTTTTATGTGAAGATATTTCCTTCTCCACCATAGCCCTCAATGCGCTCCAAATGTCCACTGGCAGATTCCACGGAAACAGGGTTTCAAAACTGCTCTAACAAAAGAAACGTTCAACTCCGTGATTTGGATGCACACATCACACAGCAGTTTCTGTGAATCCTTCTGTCTAGATTTTATATGAGGATGTTTCCTTTTCTACCATGGGCATCAAAGCCTTCCACATATCCAATGGTAGATTGTACAAAAGAGTGTTTCAAAACTGCTTTATGAAGAGGAAGGTTCAACTTTGGGAGCAGAATGCACACATCACAAAGAAGTTTCCGAGAATGCTTCTGTCTAGTTTATATGTGAAGATATTCCCATTTCCAGCAAAGGTCTCAAAGCGGTCCAAATATCCACTTGCGGATTCCCCAAAAAGAGTGTTTCAAAACTGCTCTATGGAAAGGTATGTTCAACTCTGTGAGTTTAATGCAAACATCACAAAGAAGTTTCTGAGGATGCTTCTGTCTAGTTTAATGGGAATATATTTTCTTTTCCACCATAGCCCTCAAATAGCTCCAAATATCCACTTTCAGATTTTACAGAGTGTTTCAAAACTGCTCTATCAAAAAAAAGTTTCAACTCTGTGGGTTAAATGCACATATCTCAAAGTAGTTTCTGAGAATGCTTTTGTCTATTTTTCATAGGAAGATATTTCCTTTTTGACCATAGGCCTCAAAAATCGCTCCAGATATCCACATGCAGATTCTACAAAAAGAGTGTTTCAAAACTGCTCTATCAAAAGGAAGGTTCAACTCTGGAAGTTGAAGGCAAACATCACAAACAAGTTTCTGAGAATGCTTCTGTCTAGTTTTTAGAGGCAGATATTTCCTTTTCTACCATAGGCCTCAAAGCGCTCCAAATATCCACTTGCAGATTCTACAAAAACAGTGGTTCAAAACGGCTCCATATGAACGAAGGTTCAACTCTGTGAGTTGAATGGACAGATCACAAAGAAGTTTCTGAGAATGCTTATGTCTAGTTTTTATGTGAAGATATTCCCGTTTCCAAGGAAGGCTTCAAAGCACTCCAAATATCCACCTGCAGATTCTACAACAAGTGTCTTTCAACACTGCTCTATCAAAAGTGAGGTTCCACTCGGTGAGTTGAATGCACACATCACAAAGAAGTTTCTAAGAATCCTTCAGTCTAGTTTTTATGTGAAGATAATCCCGTTTCCAATGAAGGCCTCAAAGCAGTCCCAGTATCCACTTGCAGATTCTACAAAAATAGTGTTTGAAAACTGGACTATATAAAGAGAAGTTCAACTTTCTGAGTTGAATGCAAACATCACAAAGGAGTTTTACACAATACTTCTGTCTAGTTTTTATGTGAAGATATTTCCTTTTTCACCATAGCCCTTGACGTGCTCCAAAAGCCCACTGGTGCATTCTACAAAAAGAGTGTTGCAAAACTGCCCTATTAAAAGGAAGGATCAACTCTGTGAGTTGAATGCAAACATCACAAAGATGTTGCTGAGAATGCTTCTGTCCAGTTTTTATGTGAAGACATTCCCTTTCCACCAGAGGCCTCAAAGCGCTCCCAATATCCACTTGCTGATTCTACAAAAACACTGTTTCAAAACCGCTCCATAAAAAAGATGGTTCATCTCTGTGAGTTGAATACACACATCACAAAGAAGTTTCAGAGAATGCTTCTGTCTAGTGTTTATGTGAAGATATTCCCGTTTCCAATGAAGGCCTCAAAGCAGTCCAAATATCCACTTGCAGATACTACAAAAATAGTGTTTCAAAACTGCTCTATGAAAAGGTATGTTCAACACTGTGAGATGAATGCAAACGTCACCAAGAAGTTGCTGAGAATGCTTCAGTCTAGTTTCTATGGGAAGATATTTCCTTTTCGACCACAGCCCTCAAAGCACTCCAAATGTCTACTTACAGATTCGATAAAAGAGTTTTTCAAAACAGCTCAATCAAAAGAAAGGTTCAACACTGTGAGTTGAATCTACATATCACAAAAAAGTTTCTGAGAATGCCTCTATCTACTTTTTATGTGAAGACATTCCGGTTTCCAACGAAGGCCTCAAAGCGCTCCAAATATCTATTGCAGATTCCACAAAAAGAGTGTTTCAAAACTGCTCTATTTAACGAAGGTTCAACTCTGTGAGTTGAATTCACACATCACTAAGAAGTTTCCGAGAATGCTTCTATCTAGTTTTTATGTGAAGATATTACTGTTTCCTATGAAGGCCTCAAAGTGGTCCGAATATCCACTTGCAGATTCTACAAGAAGAGGTTTTCCAAACTGCTCTATGAAGAGGTAGGTTCAACTCTGTGAGTTGAATGCAAACATCACAAAGCAGTTTCTGAGAATGCTTCGGTCTAGTTTTTAGTTGAAGATATTTCCATTTGCACAATAGCCCTCAAAGCGCTCCAAATATCCACTGGCGGATTCTACAAAAAGAGTGTTTCAGAACTGCTCTGTCAAAAGAAATGTTCAACTGTGTTAGTTGAATGCCCACATCACAAAGAAGATTCTGAGAATAATTCTGTCTAGTTTTTATTCGAAGATATTCCCGTTTCCACCTAAGGACTCAAAGCGCCCCAAATATCCACTTGCAGATCTTACAAAAACACGTTTCAAAACTGCTCTCTCAAAGGAACGGTTCATCTCTCTGGGTTCAATGCACACATCACAAAGAAGTTTCTGAGAATGTTTCTGGCTAGTTTTTAATGTGAGGATATTCCCATTTCCAACAAAGGCTTCAAAGCGCTCCAAATATTCACCTGCAATTGTACAAAAGAGTGTTTCAAAACTCTTCTATCAAAAGGAAGGTTCAACTCTGTGAGTTGAATGCATACTTCACATAGATGTTTCTGAGAATGCTTCCTTTCTAGTTTTTATGTGAAGATATTTCCTTCTCCACCATAGCCCTCAATGCGCTCCAAATGTCCACTGGCAGATTCCACGGAAACGGGGTTTCAAAACTGCTCTAACAAAAGAAAAGTTCAACTCCGTGATTTGGATGCACACATCACACAGCAGTTTCTGTGAATCCTTCTGTCTAGTTTTTATATGAGGAGATTTCCTTTTCTACCACGGGCATCAAAGCGTTCCAAATATCCAATTGTAGATTGTACAAAAGGAGTGTTTCAAAACTGCTTTATGAAAAGGAAGGTTCAACTCTGTGAGTTGAATGCACACATCACGTAGCAGTTTCTGAGAATGGTTCTGTCTACTTTATATGTGAAGATATTCCCATTTCCAGCAAAGGTCTCAAAGCGGTCCAAATATCCACTTGCGGATTCCCCAAAAAGAGTGTTTCAAAACTGCTCTATGGAAAGGTATGTTCAACTCTGTGAGTTTAATGCAAACATCATAAAGAAGTTTCTGAGGATGCTTCTGTCTAGTTTAATGGGAATATATTTTCTTTTCCACCATAGCCCTCAAATAGCTCCAAATATCCACTTTCAGATTCTACAGAGTGTTTCAAAACTGCTCTATCAAAAAAAAGTTTCAACTCTGTGAGTTGAATGCACATATCTCAAAGTAGTTTGCTGAGAATGCTTCTGTCTAGTTTTTAGAGCCAGATATTTCTTTTTCTGCCATAGGCCTCAAAGCGCTCCTGATATCCACATGCAGATTCTACACAAAGAGTGTTTCAAAACTGCTCTATCAAAAGGAAGGTTCAACTCTGGTAGTTGAATGCAAACATCACAAAGAAGTTTCTCAGAATGCTTCTGTCTAGTTTTTATATGCAGATATTTCTTTTTCTACCATAGGCCTCAAAGCGCTCCTGATATCCACTTGCAGACTCTACAGAAAGAGTGTTTCAAAACTGCTCTATCAAAAGGAAGGTTCAACTCTGTGAGCTGAATGGACAGATCACAAAGAAGTTTCTGAGAATGCTTATGTCTAGTTTTTATGTGAAGATATTCCCGTTTCCAAGGAAGGTTTCAAAGCACTCCAAATATCCACCTGCAGATTCTACAACAAGTGTCTTTCAACACTGCTCTATCAAAAGTGAGGTTCCACTCGGTGAGTTGAATGCACACATCACAAAGAAGTTTCTAAGAATCCTTCAGTCTAGTTTCTATGTGACGGGTAATCCCGTTTCCAACGAAGGCCTCAAAGCAGTCCCAGTATCCACTTGCAGATGCTACAAAAATAGTGTTTGAAAACTGGACTATATAAAGAGAAGTTCAACTTTCTGAGTTGAATGCAAACATCACAAAGGAGTTTTACAGAATACTTCAGTCTAGTTTTTATGAGAAGATATTTCCTTTTTCACCATAGCCCTTGACGTGCTCCAAAAGCCCACTGGTGCATTCTACAAAAAGAGTGTTGCAAAACTGCCCTATTAAAAGGAAGGATCAACTCTGTGAGTTGAATGCAAACATCACAAAGATGTTTCTGAGAATGCTTCTGTCCAGTTTTTATGTGAAGACATTCCCTTTCCACCAGAGGCCTCAAAGCGCTCCCAATATCCACTTGCTGATTCTACAAAAACACTGTTTCAAAACCGCTCCATAAAAAAGATGGTTCAACTCTGTGAGTTGAATACACACATCACAAAGAAGTTTCAGAGAATGCTTCTGTCTAGTGTTTATGTGAAGATATTCCCGTTTCCAATGAGGCCTCAAAGCAGTCCAAATATCCACTTGCAGATACTACAAAAATAGTGTTTCAAAACTGCTCTATGAAAAGGTATGTTCAACACTGTGAGATGAATGCAAACGTCACAAAGAAGTTGCTGAGAATGCTTCAGTCTAGTTTCTATGTGAAGATATTTCCTTTTCGACTACAGCCCTCAAAGCACTCCAAATGTCTACTTGCAGATTCGATAAAAGAGTTCTTAAAAACTGCTCTATCAAAAGAAAGCTTCAACACTGTGAGTTGAATCTACATATAACAAAAAAGTTTCTGAGAATGCCTCTATCTACTTTTTATGTGAAGATATTCCGGTTTCCAACGAAGGTCTCAAAGCGCTCCAAATATCTACTTGCAGATTCTACAAAAAGAGTGTTTCAAAACTGCTCTATTAAAGCAAGGTTCAACTCTCTCAGTTAAATTCACACATCACAAAGAAGTTTCTGAGAATGCTTCTATCTAGTTTTTATGTGAAGATAGTACTGTTTCCTATGAAGGCCTCAAAGTGGTCCAAATATCCACTTGCAGATTCTACAAAAAGAGGATTTCAAAACTGCTCTATGAAGAGGGAGGTTCAACTCTGGTATTTGAATGCAAACATCACAAAGAAGTTTCTGAGAATGCTTCTGTCTAGTTTTTATGTGAAGACTTTTCCATTTGTGCAATAGCCCTGAAAGCGCTCCAAATATCCACTGGCAGATTCTACAAAAAGAGTGTTTCAAAACTGCTCTGTCACAAGAAATGTTCAACTGTGTTAGTTGAATGCCCACATCACAAAGAAGATTCTGAGAATATTTCTGTCTAGTTTTTATTAGAAGATATTCCCGTTTCCACCAAAGGACTCAAAGCGCCCCAAATATCCACTTGCAGATCTTACAGAAACACGTTTCAAAACTGCTCTATCAAAGGAAAGGTTCATCTCTCTGGGTTCAATGCACACATCACAAAGAAGTTTCTGAGAATGCTTCTGGCTAGTTTGTATGTGAAGATATTCCCACTTCCAACAAAGGCTTCAAGGCGCTCCAAATATTCACCTGCAATTGTACAAAAGTGAGTTTCAAAACTGTTCTGTCAAAGGGAAGGTTCAACTCTGTGTGTTGAAGGCACACTTCACATAGATGTTTCTGAGAATGCTTCTTTCTAGTTTTTATGTAAGATATTTCCTTCTCCACAATTGCCCTCAATGGGCTCCAAATGTCCACTGGCAGATTCCACAGAAACAGCGATTCAAAACTGCTCTAACAAAAGAAAGGTTCAACTCTGTGATTTGAATGCTGACATCACAAAGCAGTTTCTGTGAATCCTTCTGTCTAGATTTTATATGAGGATGTTTCCTTTTCTACCATGGGCATCAAAGCCTTCCACATATCCAATGGTAGATTGTACAAAAGAGTGTTTCAAAACTGCTTTATGAAAAGGAACGTTCAACTTTGGGAGCAGAATGCACACATCACGAAGAAGTTTCCAAGAATGCTTCTGTCTAGTTTATATGTGAAGATATTCCCATTTCCAGCAAAGGTCTCAAAGCGGTCCAAATATCCACTTGCGGATTCCCCAAAAAGAGTGTTTCAAAACTGCTCTATGGAAAGGTATGTTCAACTCTGTGAGTTGAATGCAAACATCATAAAGAAGTTTCTGAGGATGCTTCTGTCTAGTTTAATGTGAATATATTTTCTTTTCCGCCATAGCCCTCAAAGAGCTCCAAATATCCACTTTCAGATTCTACAGAGTGTTTCAAAACTGCTCTATCAAAAAAAAGTTTCAACTCGGAGAGTCGAATGCACATATCACAAAGCAGTTTCTGAGAATGCTTCAGTCTAGTTGTAATAGGCAGATATTTCTTTTTCTACCATAGGCCTAAAAGTGCTCCAAATATCCACTTGCAGATTCTCCAAAAACAGTGTTTCAAAACTGCTCCATAAAAAGGAAGGTTCAACTCTGTGAGTTGAATGGACAGATCACAAAGAAGTTTCTGAGAATGCTTATGTCTAGTTTTTATGTGAAGATATTCCCGTTTCCAAGGAAGGCTTCAAAGCACTCCAAATATCCACCTGCAGATTCTACAACAAGTGTCTTTCAACACTGCTCTATCAAAAGTGAGGTTCCACTCGGTGAGTTGAATGCACACATCACAAAGAAGTTTCTAAGAATCCTTCAGTCTAGTTTTTATGTGAAGATACCCGTTTCCAACGAAGGCCTCAAAGCAGTCCCAGTATCCACTTGCAGATTCTACAAAAATAGTGTTTGAAAACTGGACTATATAAAGAGAAGTTCAACTTTCTGAGTTGAATGCAAACATCACAAAGGAGTTTTACAGAATACTTCTGTCTAGTTTTTATGTGAAGATATTTCCTTTTTCACCATAGCCCTTGACGTGCTCCAAAAGCCCACTGGTGCATTCTACAAAAAGAGTGATGCAAAACTGCCCTATTAAAAGGAAGGATCAACTCTGTGAGTTGAATGCAAACATCACAAAGATGTTTCTGAGAATGCTTCTGTCCAGTTTTTATGTGAAGACATTCCCTTTCCACCAGAGGCCTCAAAGCGCTCCCAATATCCACTTGCTGATTCTACAAAAACACTGTTTCAAAACCGCTCCATAAAAAAGATGGTTCAACTCTGTGAGTTGAATACACACATCACAAAGAAGTTTCAGAGAATGCTTCTGTCTAGTGTTTATGTGAAGATATTCCCGTTTCCAATGAAGGCCTCAAAGCAGTCCAAATATCCACTTGCAGATACTACAAAAATAGTGTCTCAAAACTGCTCTATGAAAAGGTATGTTCAACACTGTGAGATGAATGCAAACGTCACAAAGAAGTTGCTGAGAATGCTTCAGTCTAGTTTCTATGTGAAGATATTTCCTTTTCGACCACAGCCCTCAAAGCACTCCAAATGTCTACTTGCAGACTCGATAAAAGAGTTTTTCAAAACTGCTCTATCAAAAGAAAGGTTCAACGCTGTGAGTTGAATCTACATATCACAAAAAAGTTTCTGAGAATGACTCTATCTACTTTTTATGTGAAGACATTCCGGTTTCCAACGAAGGCCTCAAAGCGCTCCAAATATCTACTTGCAGATTCTACAAAAAGAGTGTTTCAAAACTGCTCTGTTAAAGGAAGGTTCCACTCTGTGAGTTGAATTCACACATCACAAAGAAGTTTCTGAGAATGCTTCCATCTAGTCTTTATGTGAAGATATTACTGTTTTCTATGAAGGCCTCAAAGTGGTCCAAATATCCACTTGCAGATTCTACAAAAAGGGGTTTTCAAAACTGCTCTATGAAGAGGTATGTTCAACTCTGTGAGTTGAATGCAAACATCACAAAGCAGTTTCTGAGAATGCTTCGGTCTAGTTTTTAGGTGAAGATATTTCCATTTGCACAATTGCCCTCAAAGCGCTCCAAATATCCACTGGCGGATTCTACAAAAAGAGTGTTTCAGAACTGCTCTGTCAAAAGAAATGTTCAACTGTGTTAGTTGAATGCCCACATCACAAAGAAGATTCTGAGAATAATTCTGTCTAGTTTTTATTAGAAGATATTCCCGTTTCCACCAAAGGACACAAAGCGAAGCCAATTATCCGCTTGCAGATCTTACAAAAACACGTTTCAAAACTGCTCTATCAAAGGAAAGGTTCATCTCTCTGGGTTCAACGCACACATCACAAAGAAGTTTCTGAGAATGCTTCTGGCTAGTTTTTATGTGAGGATATTCCCATTTCCAACAAAGGCTTCAAAGCGCTCCAAATATTCACCTGCAATTGTACAAAAGAGTGTTTCAAAACTCTTCTATCAAAAGAACGGTTCAACTCTGTGAGTTGAATGCACACTTCACATAGGTGTTTCTGAGAATGCTTCTTTCTAGTTTTTATGTGAAGATATTTCCTTCTCCACCATAGCCCTCAATGCGCTCCAAATGTCCACTGGCAGATTCCACAGAAACAGTGTTTCAAAACTGCTCTAATAAAAGAAAGGTCCAACTCCGTGATTTGAATGCACACATCACAAAGCAGTTTCTGTGAATCATTCTGTCTAGATTTTATATGAGGATGTATCCTTTTCTACCATGGGCATCAAAGCCTTCCACATATCCAATGGTAGATTGTACAAAAGAGTGTTTCAAAACTGCTTTATGAAAAGGAAGGTTCAACTTTGGGAGCAGAATGCACACATCACGAAGAAGTTTCCGAGAATGCTTCTGTCTAGTTTATATGTGAAGATATTCCCATTTCCAGCAAAGGTCTCAAAGCGGTCCAAATATCCACTTGCGGATTCCCCAAAAAGAGTGTTTCAAAACTGCTCTATGGAATGGTGTGTTCAACTCTGTGAGTTTAATGCAAACATCATAAAGAAGTTTCTGAGGATGCTTCTGTCTAGTTTAATGGGAATATATTTTCTTTTCCACCATAGCCCCTCAAATAGCTCCAAATATCCACTTTCAGATTCTACAGAGTGTTTCAAAACTGCTCTATCAAAAAAAAGTTTCAACTCTGTGAGTTGAATGCACATATCTCTAAGTAGTTTCTGAGAATGCTTTTGTCTGTTTTTCATAGGAAGATATTTCCTTTTTGACCATAGGCCTCAAATCGCTCCAGATATCCACATGCAGATTCTACAAAAAGAGTGTTTCAAAACTGCTCTATCAAAAAGGAATGTTCAACTCTGGTAGTTGAATGCAAACATCACAAAGAAGTTTCTCAGAATGCTTCTGTCTAGTTTTGATATGCAGATATTTCTTTCTCTACCATAGGCCTCAAAGCGCTCCAAATATCCACTTGCAGATTCTACAAAAACAGTGTTTCAAAACGGCTCCATAAAAAGGAAGGTTCAACTCTGTGAGTTGAATGGACAGATCACAAAGAAGTTTCTGAGAATGCTTATGTCTAGTTTTTATGTGAAGATATTCCCGTTTCCAAGGAAGTCTTCAAAGCACTCCAAATATCCACCTGCAGATTCTACAACAAGTGTCTTTCAACACTGCTCTATCAAAAGTGAGGTTCCACTCGGTGAGTTGAATGCACACATCACAAAGAAGTTTCTAAGAATCCTTCAGTCTAGTTTTTATGTGAAGATAATCCCGTTTCCAATGAAGGCCTCAAAGCAGTCCCAGTATCCACTTGCAGATTCTACAAAAATAGTGTTTGAAAACTGGACTATATAAAGAGAAGTTCAACTTTCTGAGTTGAATGCAAACATCACAAAGGAGTTTTACACAATACTTCTGTCTAGTTTTTATGTGAAGATATTTCCTTTTTCACCATAGCCCTTGACGTGCTCCAAAAGCCCACTGGTGCATTGTACAAAAAGAGTGTTGCAAAACTGCCCTATTAAAAGGAAGGATCAACTCTGTGAGTTGAATGGAAACATCACAAAGATGTTTCTGAGAATGCTTCTGTCCAGTTTTTATGTGAAGACATTCCCTTTCCACCAGAGGCCTCAAAGCGCTCCAAATATCCAATTGCTGATTCTACAAAAACACTGTTTCAAAACCGCTCCATAAAAAAGATGGTTCAACTCTGTGAGTTGAATACACACATCACAAAGAAGTTTCAGAGAATGCTTCTGTCTAGTGTTTATGTGAATATATTCCCGTTTCCAATGAAGGCCTCAAAGCAGTCCAAATATCCACTTGCAGATACTACAAAAATAGTGTTTCAAAACTGCTCTATGAAAAGGTATGTTCAACACTGTGAGATGAATGCAAACGTCACAAAGAAGTTGCTGAGAATGCTTCAGTCTAGTTTCTATGTGAAGATATTTCCTTTTCGACCACAGCCCTCAAAGCACTCCAAATGTCTACTTGCAGATTCGATAAAAGAGTTTTTCAAAACTGCTCTATCAAAAGAAAGGTTCAACGCTCTGAGTTGAATCTACATATCACAAAAAAGTTTCTGAGAATGCCTCTATCTACTTTTTATGTGAAGATATTCCGGTTTCCAACGAAGGCCTGAAAGCGCTCCAAATATCTACTGGCAGATTCTACAAAAAGAGTGTTTCAAAACTGCTCTATTAAAGGAAGGTTCAACTCTGTGAGTTGAATTCACACATCACAAAGAAGTTTCTGAGAATGCTTCCATCTAGTTTTTATGTGAAGATATTACTGTTTCCTATGAAGGCCTCAAAGTGGTCAAAATATCCACTTGCAGATTCTACCAAAAGAGGTTTTCAAAACTGCTCTATGAAGATGTATGTTCAACACTGTGAGTTGAATGCAAACATCACAACGTAGTTTCTGAGAATGCTTCTGTCTAGTATTTAGGTGAAGATATTTCCATTTGCACAATAGCCCTCAAAGCGCCCCAAATATCCACTGGCAGATTCTACTAAAAGTGTGTTTCAAAACTGCTCTGTCAAAAGAAATGTTCAACTGTGTTAGTTGAATGCCCACATCACAAAGAAGATTCTGAGAATATTTCTGTCTAGTTTTTATTCGAAGATATTCCCGTTTCCACCTAAGGGCTCAAAGCGCCCCAAATATCCACTTGCAGATCTTACAAAAACACGTTTCAAAACTGCTCTCTCAAAGAAATGGTTCATCTCTCTGGGTTCAATGCACACATCACAAAGAAGTTTCTGAGAATGCTTCTGGCTAGTTTTTATGTGAGGATATTCCCATTTCCAACAAAGGCTTCAAAGCGCTCCAAATATTCACCTGCAATTGTACAAAAGAGTGTTTCAAAACTCTTCTATCAAAAGGAAGGTTCAACTCTGTGAGTTGAATGCACACTTCACATAGATGTTTCTGAGAATGCTTCTTTCTAGTTTTTATGTGAAGATATTTCCTTCTCCACCATAGCCCTCAATGCGCTCCAAATGTCCACTGGCAGATTCCACGGAAACAGGGTTTCAAAACTGCTCTAACAAAAGAAAAGTTCAACTCCGTGATTTCGATGCACACATCACACAGCAGTTTCTGTGAATCCTTCTGTCTAGTTTTTATATGAGGACATTACCTTTTCTACCACGGGCATCAAAGCGTTCCAAATATCCAATTGTAGATTGTACAAAAGGAGTGTTTCAAAACTGCCTTATGAAAAGGAAGGTTCAACTTTGGGAGTAGAATGCACACATCACGAAGAACTTTCTGAGAATGCTTCTGTCTAGTTTATATGTGAAGATATTCCCATTTCCAGCAAAGGTCTCAAAGCGGTCCAAATATCCACTTGTGGATTCCCCAAAAAGAGTGTTTCAAAACTGCTCTATGGAAAGGTATGTTCAACTCTGTGAGTTTAATGCAAACATCATAAAGAAGTTTCTGAGGATGCTTCTGTCTAGTTTAATGGGAATATATTTTCCTTTCCACCATAGCCCTCAAATAGCTCCAAATATCCACTTTCAGATTCTACAGAGTGTTTCAAAACTGCTCTATCAAAAAAAAGTTTCAACTCTGTGAGTTGAATGCACATATCTCAAAGTAGTTTGTGAGAATGCTTTTGTCTATTTTTCATAGGAAGATATTTCCTTTTCGAACGTAGGC
Organism: Homo sapiens; assembly: GCF_000001405.40. NCBI lineage: Eukaryota > Metazoa > Chordata > Mammalia > Primates > Hominidae > Homo > Homo sapiens. The sequence goes on along the minus strand of NC_000019.10, from coordinate 24,511,722 downwards.
CTCAAAAATCGCTCCAGATATCCACGTGCAGATTCTACAAAAAGAGTGTTTCAAAACTGCTCTATCAAAAGGAAGGTTCAACTCTGGTAGTTGAATGCAAACATCACAAAGAAGTTTCTGAGAATGCTTCTGTCTAGTTTTTAGAGCCAGATATTTCTTTTTCTACCATAGGCTTCAAAGCGCTCCTGATATCCACTTGCAGACTCTACAGAAAGAGTGTTTCAAAACTGCTCTATCAAAGGGAAGGTTCAACTCTGTGAGCTGAATGGACAGATCACAAAGGAGTTTCTGAGAATGCTTATGTCTAGTTTTTATGTGAAGATATTCCCGTTTCCAAGGAAGGCTTCAAAGCACTCCAAATATCCACCTGCAGATTCTACAACAAGTGTCTTTCAACACTGCTCTATCAAAAGTGAGGTTCCACTCGGTGAGTTGAATGCACACATCACAAAGAAGTTTCTAAGAATCCTTCAGTCTAGTTTCTATGTGAAGATAATCCCGTTTCCAACGAAGGCCTCAAAGCAGTCCCAGTATCCACTTGCAGATTCTACAAAAATAGTGTTTGAAAACTGGACTATATAAAGAGAAGTTCAACTTTCTGAGTTGAATGCAAACATCACAAAGGAGTTTTACAGAATACTTCCGTCTAGTTTTTATGTGAAGATATTTCCTTTTTCACCATAGCCCTTGACGTGCTCCAAAAGCCCACTGGTGCATTCTACAAAAAGAGTGTTGCAAAACTGCCCTATTAAAAGGAAGGATCAACTCTGTGAGTTGAATGCAAACATCACAAAGATGTTTCTGAGAATACTTCTGTCCAGTTTTTATGTGAAGACATTCCCTTTCCACCAGAGGCCTCAAAGCGCTCCAAATATCCACTTGCTGATTCTACAAAAACACTGTTTCAAAACCGCTCCATAAAAAAGATGGTTCAACTCTGTGAGTTGAATACACACATCACAAAGAAGTTTCAGAGAATGCTTCTGTCTAGTGTTTATGTGAAGATATTCCCGTTTCCAGTGGAGGCCTCAACGCAGTCCAAATATCCAATTGCAGATTCTACAAAAAGAGTGTTTCAAAACTGCTCTATGAAAAGGTATGTTCAACACTGTGAGATGAATGCAAACGACACAAAGAAGTTGCTGAGAATGCTTCAGTCTAGTTTCTATGTGAAGATATTTCCTTTTCGACCACAGCCCTCAAAGCACTCCAAATGTCTACTTACAGATTCGATAAAAGAGTTTTTCAAAACTGCTCTATCAAAAGAAAGGTTCAACGCTGTGAACTGAATCTACATATCACAAAAAAGTTTCTGAGAATGCCTCTATCTACTTTTTATGTGAAGATATTCCGGTTTCCAACGAAGGCCTCAAAGCGCTCCAAATATGTACTTGCAGATTCTACAAAAAGAGTGTTTCAAAACTGCTCTATTAAAGGAAGGTTCAACTCTGTGAGTTGAATTCACACATCACAAAGAACTTTCTGACAATGCTTCTACCTAGATTTTATGTGAAGATAGTACTGTTTCCTATGAAGGCCTCAAAGTGGTCCAAATATCCACTTGCAGATTCTACAAAAAGAGGTTTTCCAAACTGCTCTATGAAGAGGTAGGTTCAACTCTATGAGTTTAATGCAAACATCACAAAGTAGTTTCTGGGATTGCTTCTGTCTAGTTTTTAGGTGAAGACTTTTCCATTTCTACAAAGCCCTCAAAGCGCTCCAAATATCCACTGGCAGATTCTACAAAAAGAGTGTTTCAAAACTGCTCTGTCACAAGAAATGTTCAACTCTGTTAGTTGAATGCCCACATCACAAAGAAGATTCTGAGAATATTTCGGTCTAGTTTTTATTAGAAGATATTCCCGTTTCCACCAAAGGACTCAAAGCGTCCCAAATATCCACTTGCAGATCTTACAGAAACACGTTTCAAAACTGCTCTATCAAAGGAATGGTTCATCTCTCTGGGTTCAATGCACACATCACAAAGAAGTTTCTGAGAATGCTTCTGGCTACTTTTTATGTGAGGATATTCCCATTTCCAACAAAGGCTTCAAATCGCTCCAAATATTCACCTGCAATAGTACAAAAGAGTGTTTCAAAACTCTTCTATCAAAAGGAAGGTTCAACTCTGTGAGTTGAATGCACACTTCACATAGATGTTTCTGAGAATGCTTCTTTCTAGTTTTTATGTGAAGATATTTCTTTCTCCACCATAGCCCTCAATGCGCTCCAAATGTCCACAGGCAGATTCCACGGAAACGGGGTTTCAAAACTGCTCTAACAAAAGAAAAGTTCAACTCCGTGATTTGGATGCACACATCACACAGCAGTTTCTGTGAATCCTTCTGTCTAGATTTTATATGAGGATGTATCCTTTTCTACCATGGGCATCAAAGCCTTCCACATATCCAATGGTAGATTGTACAAAAGAGTGTTTCAAAACTGCTTTATGAAGAAGAAGGTTCAAATTTGGGAGCAGAATGCACACATCAGGAAGAAGTTTCCGAGAATGATTCTGTCCAGTTTATATATGAAGATATTCCCATTTCCAGCAAAGGTCTCAAAACGGTCCAAATATCCACTTGCGGATTCCACAAAAAGAGTGTTTCAAAACTGCTCTATGGAAAGGTATGTTCAAATCTGTGAGTTTGATGCAAACATCATAAAGAAGTTTCTGAGAATGCTTCTGTCTAGTTTAATGTGAATATATTTTCTTTTCCACCATAGCCCTCAAAGAGCTACAAATATCCACTTTCAGATTCTACAGAGTGTTTCAAAACTGCTGTATCAAAAAAAAGGTTCAACTCTGTGAGTGGAATGCACATAACACAAAGTAGTTTCTGAGAATGCTTTTGTCTATTTTTCATAGGAAGATATTTCCTTTTGAGACATAGGTCTCAAAAATCGCTCCAGGTATCCACATGCAGATTCTACAAAAAGAGCGTTTCAAAACTGTTCTATCAAAAGGAAGGTTCAACTCTGGTAGTTGAATGCAAACATCACAAAGAAGTTTCTGAGAATGCTTCTGTCTAGTTTTTAGAGCCAGATATTTCTTTTTCTGCCATAGGCCTCGAAGCGCTCCTGATATCCACTTGCACACTCTACAGAAAGAGTGTTTCAAAACTGCTCTATCAAAAGGAAGGTTCAACTCTGTGAGCTGAATGGACAGATCACAAAGGAGTTTCTGAGAATGCTTATGTCTAGTTTTTATGTGAAGATATTCCCGTTTCCAAGGAAGGCTTCAAAGCACTCCAAATATCCACCTGCAGATTCTACAACAAGTGTCTTTCAACTCTGCTCTATCAAAAGTGAGGTTCCACTCGGTGAGTTGAATGCACACATCACAAAGAAGTTTCTAAGAATCCTTCAGTCTAGTTTCTATGTGAAGATAATCCCGTTTCCAACGAAGGCCTCAAAGCAGTCCCAGTATCCACTTGCAGATTCTACAAAAATAGTGTTTGAAAACTGGACTATATAAAGAGAAGTTCAACTTTCTGAGTTGAATGCAAACATCACAAAGGAGTTTTACAGAATACTTCTGTCTAGTTTTTATGTGAAGATATTTCCTTTTTCACCATAGCCCTTGACGTGCTCCAAAAGCCCACTGGTGCATTGTACAAAAAGAGTGTTGCAAAACTGCCCTATTAAAAGGAAGGATCAACTCTGTGAGTTGAATGCAAACATCACAAAGATGTTTCTGAGAATGCTTCTGTCCAGTTTTTATGTGAAGACATTCCCTTTCCACCAGAGGCCTCAAAGCGCTCCCAATATCCACTTGCTGATTCTACAAAAACACTGTTTCAAAACCGCTCCATAAAAAAGATGGTTCAACTCTGTGAGTTGAATACACACATCACAAAGAAGTTTCAGAGAATGCTTCTGTCTATTGTTTATGTGAAGATATTCCCGTTTCCAGTGGAGGCCTCAACGCAGTCCAAATATCCAATTGCAGTTTCTACAAAAAGAATGTTTCAAAACTGCTCTAAGAAAAGGTATGTTCAACAGTGTGAGATGAATGCAAACGACACGAAGAAGTTGCTGAGAATGCTTCAGTCTAGTTTCTATGTGAAGATATTTCCTTTTCGACCACAGCCCTCAAAGCACTCCAAATGTCTACTTGCAGATTTGATAAAAGAGTTTTCCAAACTGCTCTATCAAAAGAAAGGTTGAATGCTGTGAGTTGAATCTACATATCAAAAAAAGTTTCTGAGAATGCTTCTATCTACTTTTTATGTGAAGATATTCCGGTTTCCAACGAAGGCCTCAAAGCTCTCCAAATATCTACTTGCAGATTCTACAAAAAGAGTGTTTCAAAACTGCTCTATTAAAGGAAGGTTCAACTCTGTGAGTTGAATTCACACATCACAAAGAAGTTTCTGAGAATGCTTGAATCTAGTTTTTATGTGAAGATATTACTGTTTTCTATGAAGGCCTCAAAGTGGTCCGAATATCCACTTGCAGATTCTACAGAAAGAGGATTTCAAAACTGCTCTATAAAGAGGTATGTTCATCTCTGTGAGTTGAATGCAAACATCACAAAGTAGTTTCTGAGAATGCTTCGGTCTAGTTTTTAGGTGTAGATATTTCCATTTGCACAATAGCCCTCAAAGCGCTCCAAATATCCACTGGCGGATTCTACAAAAAGAGTGTTTCAGAACTGCTCTGTCAAAAGAAATGTTCAACTGTGTTAGTTGAATGCCCACATCACAAAGAAGATTCTGAGAATAATTCTGTCTAGTTTTTATTAGAAGATATTCCCGTTTCCAACAAAGGACACAAAGCGAAGCCAATTATCCGCTTGCAGATCTTACAAAAACACGTTTCAAAACTGCTCTATCAAAGGAAAGGTTCATCTCTCTGGGTTCAACGCACACATCACAAAGAAGTTTCTGAGAATGCTTCTGGCTAGTTTTTATGTGAGGATATTCCCATTTCCAACAAAGGCTTCAAATCGCTCCAAATATTCACCTGCAATTGTACAAAAGAGTGTTTCAAAACTCTTCTATCAAAAGGAAGGTTCAACTCTGTGAGTTGAATGCACACTTCACATAGATGTTTCTGAGAATGCTTCTTTCTAGTTTTTATGTGAAGATATTTCCTTCTCCACCATAGCCCTCAATGCGCTCCAAATGTCCACTGGCAGATTCCACGGAAACGGGGTTTCAAAACTGCTCTAACAAAAGAAAAGTTCAACTCCGTGATTTGGATGCACACATCACACAGCAGTTTCTGTGAATCCTTCTGTCTAGATTTTATATGAAGATGTTTCCTTTTCTACCATGGGCATCAAAGCCTTCCACATATCCAATGGTAGATTGTACAAAAGAGTGTTTCAAAACTGCTTTATGAAGAGGAAGGTTCAACTTTGGGAGCAGAATGCACACATCACGAAGAAGTTTCCGAGAATGCTTCTGTCTAGTTTATATGTGAAGATATTCCCATTTCCAGCAAAGGTCTCAAAGCGGTCCAAATATCCACTTGCGGATTCCCCAAAAAGAGTGTTTCAACACTGCTCTATGGAATGGTGTGTTCAACTCTGTGAGTTTAATGCAAACATCATAAAGAAGTTTCTGAGGATGCTTCTGGCTAGTTTAATGTGAATATATTTTCTTTTCCACCATAGCCCTCAAAGAGCTCCAAATATCCACTTTCAGATTCTACAGAGTGTTTCAAAACTGCTCTATCAAAAAAAAGGTTGTACTCTGTGAGTTGAATGCACATAACACAAAGTAGTTTCTGAGAATGCTTTTGTCAGTTTTTCATAGGAAGATATTTCCTTTTTGACCATAGGCCTCAAATCGCTCCAGATATCCACATGCAGATTCTACAAAAAGAGTGTTTCAAAACTGCTCTATCAAAAAGGAAGGTTCAACTCTGGTAGTTGAATGCAAACATCACAAAGAAGTTTCTCAGAATGCTTCTGTCTAGTTTTTAGAGCCAGATATTTCTTTTTCTACCATAGGCTTCAAAGCGCTCCTGATATCCACTTGCAGACTCTACAGAAAGAGTGTTTCAAAACTGCTCTATCAAAAGGAAGGTTCAACTCTGTGAGCTGAATGGACAGATCACAAAGGAGTTTCTGAGAATGCTTATGTCTAGTTTTTATGTGAAGATATTCCCGTTTCCAAGGAAGGCTTCAAAGCACTCCAAATATCCACCTGCAGATTCTACAACAAGTGTCTTTCAACACTGCTCTATCAAAAGTGAGGTTCCACTCGGTGAGTTGAATGCACACATCACAAAGAAGTTTCTAAGAATCCTTCAGTCTAGTTTTTATGTGAAGATAATCCCGTTTCCAACGAAGGCCTCAAAGCAGTCCCAGTATCCACTTGCAGATTCTACAAAAATAGTGTTTGAAAACTGGACTATATAAAGAGAAGTTCAACTTTCTGAGTTGAATGCAAACATCACAAAGGAGTTTTACAGAATACTTCTGTCTAGTTTTTATGTGAAGATATTTCCTTTTTCACCAAAGCCCTTGACGTGCTCCAAAAGCCCACTGGTGCATTCTACAAAAAGAGTGTTGCAAAACTGCCCTATTAAAAGGAAGGATCAACTCTGTGAGTTGAATGCAAACATCACAAAGATGTTTCTGAGAATGCTTCTGTCCAGTTTTTATGTGAAGACATTCCCTTTCCACCAGAGGCCTCAAAGCGCTCCAAATATCCAATTGCTGATTCTACAAAAACACTGTTTCAAAACCGCTCCATAAAAAAGATGGTTCCACTCTGTGAGTTGAATACACACATCACAAAGAAGTTTCAGAGAATGCTTCTGTCCAGTGTTTATGTGAAGATATTCCCGTTTCCGATAGAGGCCTCAAAGCAGTCCAAATATCCACTTGCAGATTCTACAAAAATAGTGTTTCAAAACTACTCTATGCAAAGGTATGTTCAACACTGTGAGATCAATGCAAACGTCACAAAGAAGTTGCTGAGAATGCTTCAGTCTAGTTTCTATGGGAAGACATTTCCTTTTGCACCACAGCCCTCAAAGCACTCCAAATGTCTACTTGCAGATTCGATAAAAGAGTTTTTCAAAACTGCTCTATCAAAAGAAAGGTTCAACGCTGTGAGTTGAATCTACATATGACAAAAAAGTTTCTGAGCATGCCTCTATCTACTTTTCCTGTGAAGATATTCCGGTTTCCAACGAAGGCCTCAAAGCGCTCCAAATATCTACTTGCAGATTCTAGAAAAAGAGTGTTTCAAAACTGCTCTATTAAAGGAAGGTTCAACTCTGTGAGTTGAATTCACACATCACAAAGAACTTTCTGACAATGCTTCTATCTAGTTTTTATGTGAAGATATTACTGTTTCCTATGAAGGCCTCAAAGTGGTCCGAATATCCACTTGCAGATTCTACAGAAAGAGGTTTTCAAAACTGCTCTATGAAGAGGTATGTTCAACTCTGTGAGTTGAATGCAAACATCACGAAGTAGTTTCTGAGAATGCTTCTGTCTAGTTTTTAGGGGAAGATATTTCCATTGGCACAATAGCCCTCAAAGCGCTCCAGATATCCTCTGGCAGATTCCACCAAAAGAGTGTTTCAAAACTGCTCTGTGAAAAGAAATGTTCAAATGTGTTAGTTGAATGCCCTCATCACAAAGAAGATTCTGAGAATATTTTTGTCTAGTTTTTATTAGAAGATATTCCCGTTTCCACCAAAGGACTCAAAGCGCCCCAAATATCCACATACAGATCTTACAGAAACACGTTTCAAAACTGCTCTATCAAAGGAAAGGTTCATCTCTCTGAGTTCAACGCACACATCACAAAGAAGTTTCTGAGAATGCTTCTGGCTAGTTTGTATGTGAAGATATTCACAATTCCAACAAAGGCTTCAAGGAGCTCCAAATATTCACCTAAAATTGTACAAAAGAGTGTTTCAAAACTGTTCTATCAAAAGGAAGGTTCAAATCTGTGAGTTGAATGCACATTTCACATAGATGTTTCTGAGAATGCTTCTTTCTAGTTTTTATGTGAAGATATTTCCTTCTCCACCATAGCCCTCAATGCGCTCCAAATGTCCACTGGCAGATTCCACGGAAACGGGGTTTCAAAACTGCTCTAACAAAAGAAAAGTTCAACTCCGTGATTTCGATGCACACATCACACAGCAGTTTCTGTGAATCCTTCTGTCTAGATTTTATATGAGGATGTTTCCATTTCTACCATGGGCATCAAAGCCTTCCACATATCCAATGGTAGATTGTACAAAAGAGTGTTTCAAAACTGCTTTATGAAAAGGAAGGTTCAACTTTGGGAGCAGAATGCACACATCACGAAGAAGTTTCCGAGAATGCTTCTGTATAGTTTATATGTGAAGATATTCCCATTTCCAGCGAAGGTCTCAAAGCGGTCCAAATATCCACTTGCGGATTCCACAAAAAGAGTGTTTCAAAACTGCTCTATGGAAAGGTATGTTCAACTCTGTGAGTTTAATGCAAACATCATACAGAAGTTTCTGAGAATGCTTCTGTCTAGTTTAATGGGAATATATTTTCTTTTCCACCATAGCCCTCAAATAGCTCCAAATATCCACTTTCAGATTCTACAGAGTGTTTCAAAACTGCTCTATCAAAAAAAAGTTTCAACTCTGTGAGTTGAATGCACATATCTCTAAGTAGTTTCTGAGAATGCTTTTGTCTGTTTTTCATAGGAAGATATTTCCTTTTTGAACGTAGGCCTCAAAAATCGCTCCAGATATCCACGTGCAGATTCTACAAAAAGAGCGTTTCAAAACTGCTCTATCAAAAGGAAGGTTCAACTCTGGTAGTTGAATGCAAACATCACAAAGAAGTTTCTGAGAACGCTTCTGTCTAGTTTTTAGAGCCAGATATTTCTTTTTCTGCCATAGGCGACAAAGCGCTCCTGATATCCACTTGCACACTCTACAGAAAGAGTGTTTCAAAACTGCTCTATCAAAAGGAAGGTTCAACTCTGTGAGCTGAATGGACAGATCACAAAGGAGTTTCTGAGAATGCTTATGTCTAGTTTTTATGTGAAGATATTCCCGTTTCCAAGGAAGGCTTCAAAGCACTCCAAATATCCACCTGCAGATTCTACAACAAGTGTCTTTCAACACTGCTCTATCAAAAGTGAGGTTCCACTCGGTGAGTTGAATGCACACATCACAAAGAAGTTTCTAAGAATCCTTATGTCTAGTTTTTATGTGAAGATAATCCCGTTTCCAATGAAGGCCTCAAAGCAGTCCCACTATCCACTTGCAGATTCTACAAAAATAGTGTTTGAAAACTGGACTATATAAAGAGAAGTTCAACTTTCTGAGTTGAATGCAAACATCACAAAGGAGTTTTACAGAATACTTCTGTCTGGTTTTTTGTGAAGATATTTCCTTTTTCACCATAGCCCTTGACGTGCTCCAAAAGCCCGCTGGTGCATTCTACAAAAAGAGTGTTGCAAAACTGCCCTATTAAAAGGAAGGATCAACTCTGTGAGTTGAATGCAAACATCACAAAGATGTTTCTGAGAATGCTTCTGTCCAGTTTTTATGTGAAGACATTCCCTTTACACCAGAGGCCTCAAAGCGCTCCCAATATCCAATTGCTGATTCTACAAAAAACACTGTTTCAAAACCGCTCCATAAAAAAGATGGTTCAACTCTGTGAGTTGAATACACACATCACAAAGAAGTTTCAGAGAATGCTTCTGTCTAGTGTTTATGTGAAGATATTCCCGTTTCCGATGAAGGCCTCAAAGCAGTCCAAATGTCCACTTGCAGATTCTACAAAAATAGTGTTTCAAAACTACTCTATGCAAAGGTATGTTCAACACTGTGAGATGAATGCAAACGTCACCAAGAAGTTGCTGAGAATGATTCAGTCTAGTTTCTATGTGAAGATATTTCCTTTTCGACCACAGCCCTCAAAGCACTCCAAATGTCTACTTGCAGACTCGATAAAAGAGTTTTTCAAAACTGCTCTATCAAAAGAAAGGTTCAACGCTGTGAACTGAATCTACATATCACAAAAAAAGTTTCTGAGAATGCCTCTATCTACTTTTTATGTGAAGATATTCCGGTTTCCAACGAAGGCCTCAAAGCGCTCCAAATATCTACTTGCAGATTCTACAAAAAGAGTGTTTCAAAACTGCTCTATTAAAGGAAGGTTCAACTCTGTGAGTTGAATTCACACATCACAAAGAATTTTCTGACAATGCTTCTACCTAGTTTTTATGTGAAGATAGTACTGTTTCCTATGAAGGCCTCAAAGTGGTCCAAATATCCACTTGCAGATTCTACAAAAAGAGGTTTTCCAAACTGCTCTATGAAGAGGTAGGTTCAACTCTATGAGTTGAATGCAAACATCACAAAGTAGTTTCTGGGATTGCTTCGGTCTAGTTTTTAGGTGAAGATATTTCCATTTGCACAATAGCCCTCAAAGCGCTCCAAATATCCACTGGCGGATTCTACAAAAAGAGTGTTTCAGAACTGCTCTGTCAAAAGAAATGTTCAACTGTGTTAGTTGAATGCCCACATCACAAAGAAGATTCTGAGAATCATTCTGTCTAGTTTTTATTCGAAGATATTCCCGTTTCCACCTAAGGACTCAAAGCGCCCCTAATATCCACTTGCAGATCTTACAAAAACACGTTTCAAAACTGCTCTCTCAAAGGAACGGTTCACCTCTCTGGGTTCAATGCACACATCACATAGAAGTTTCTGAGAATGCTTCTGGCTAGTTTTTATGTGAGGATATTCCCATTTCCAACAAAGGCTTCAAAGCGCTCCAAATATTCACCTGCAATTGTACAAAAGAGTGTTTCAAAACTCTTCTATCAAAAGGAAGGTTCAACTCTGTGAGTTGAATGCACACTTCACATAGATGTTTCCGAGAATGCTTCTTTCTAGTTTTTCTGTGAAGATATTTCCTTCTCCACCATAGCCCTCAATGCGCTCCAAATGTCCGCTGGCAGATTCCACAGAAACAGTGTTTCAAAACTGCTCTAACAAAAGAAAGGTCCAACTCCGTGATTTGAATGCACACGTCACAAAGCAGTTTCTGTGAATCCTTCTGTCTAGTTTTTATATGAGGAGATTTCCTTTTCTACCACGGGCATCAAAGCGTTCCAAATATCCAATTGTAGATTGTACAAAAGGAGTGTTTCAAAAATGCTTTATGAAAAGGAAGGTTCAACTTTGGGAGTAGAATGCACACATCACGAAGAAGTTTCTGAGAATGCTTCTGTTTAGTTTATATGTGAAGACATTCCCATTTCCAGCGAAGGTCTCAAAGCGGTCCAAATATCCGCTTGCGGATTCCACAAAAAGAGTGTTTCAAAACTGCTCTATGGAAAGGTATGTTCAACTCTGTGAGTTTAATGCAAACATCATAAAGAAGTTTCTGAGAATGCTTCTGGCTAGTTTAATGTGAATATATTTTCTTTTCCACCATAGCCCTCAAAGAGCTCCAAATATCCACTTTCAGATTCTACAGAGTGTTTCAAAACTACTCTATCAAAAAAAAGGTTGTACTCTGTGAGTTGAATGCACATAACACAAAGTAGTTTCTGAGAATGCTTTTGTCTATTTTTCATAGGAAGATATTTCCTTTTGAGACATAGGTCTCAAAAATCGTTCCAGGTATCCACGTGCAGATTCTACAAAAAGAGCATTTCAAAACTCCTCTATCAAAAGGAAGGTTCAACTCTGGTAGTTGAATGCAAACATCACAAAGAAGTTTCTGAGAACGCTTCTGTCTAGTTTTGATATGCAGATATTTCTTTTTCTACCTTAAGCCTCAAAGCGCTCCAAATATCCACTTTCAGATTCTACAAAAACAGTGTTTCAAAACGGCTCCATAAAAAGGAAAGTTCAACTCTGTGTGTTGAATGGACAGATCACAAGGAAGTTTCTGAGAATCCTTATGTCTAGTTTTTATGTGAAGATATTCCCGTTTCCAAGGAAGGCTTCAAAGCACTCCAAATATCCACATGCAGATTCTACAACAAGTGTCTTTCAACTCTGCTCTATCAAAAGTGAGGTTCCACTCGGTGAGTTGAATGCACACATCACAAAGAAGTTTCTAAGAATCCTTCAGTCTAGTTTCTATGTGAAGATAATCCCGTTTCCAACGAAGGCCTCAAAGCAGTCCCAGTATCCACTTGCAGATTCTACAAAAATAGTGTTTGAAAACTGGACTATATAAAGAGAAGTTCAACTTTCTGAGCTGAATGCAAACATCACAAAGGAGTTTTACAGAATACTTCTGTCTAGTTTTTATGTGAAGATATTTCCTTTTTCACCATAGCCCTTGACGTGCTCCAAAAGCCCACTGGTGCATTCTACAAAAAGAGTGTTGCAAAACTGCCCTATTAAAAGGAAGGATCAACTCTGTGAGTTGAATGCAAACATCACAAAGATGTTTCTGAGAATACTTCTGTCTACTATTTATATGAAGATATTTCTTTTTCTACCATAGGCCTCAAATCGCTCCAAATATCCACTTGCAGATTCTACAAAAACAGTGTTTCAAAACTGCTCCATAAAAAAGGAAGGTTCAACTCTGTGAGTTGAATACACACATCACAAAGAAGTTTCAGAGAATGCTTCTGTCTAGTGTTTATGTGAAGACATTCCCATTTCCAATGAAGGTCTCAACGCAGTCCAAATATCCACTTGCAGATTCTACAAAAATAGTGTTTCAAAACTACTCTATGAAAAGGTATGTTCAACACTGTGAGATGAATGCAAACGTCACAAAGAAGTTGCTGAGAATACT